>NC_000002.12:21297634-21449149 GCF_000001405.40 Homo sapiens
TTATTGTAATGATTTTCTCAATACCTCATCTCCCCAGAGCATTGGTGCGTTGTAACTACCTTCTGTTTGCTGCTTAAGCTATTTATTAATCACATTCTTTCCTATTCAGCCCTAACCAGGAGAAATGACAATTTTAGGCATTTCTCAGTTACCTACTATAAATTGGTCCAATTACTATGTGATCTTATAAACTATTCCTTGGGGTATTTCACCCACTCCAGCACTGTAATTGGTTTGCTAAAAGGGAAAAAGAAAAAAATACAAAACTGGGTCTTAATGCTGTGCTATGGGGTTTTGTTGAAGTTTAAGTTTTCTCTTAAATGGTTAAAGGAGTTTAAGGTGTATATCATTATGGCAGCAATCACATTTAATGAACACATAAATGCTTACCACAATTTTAGTGAGAATATCCCATCTTTGACATTTATAAACCTGGAAATTGAGGCTCTTCGTCTTCCCACACAGGGTAGGCTGTGGGATTGAAAATCTAAATTGGGTGCAGTAACCATTCACTAAACATTGGAAGATATACCCTTCACAATCAGGGCATATGAGCATCATTTACTTCGTCTTTCTAGAACTTCTCTTCTCAGGCATTGAGATGTTTGTCCCATATCCCTGCCTCCCCCACAAAAGAAGAAGCCATTTTTAAGCTTCATTACTTGCAGCAATGAGGAAACACAACGCCCTTGTGAGATGCTGCAGACTGAGATGATGCCCCATGGATGGAGAGCAGGAGTGTGTGTGTGTGTGTGTGTGTTAGTCTCATCAAACAGGTGATTTCCCGGATGGTATCCTGTGGGGGTCTTGACCACTGAGGACTCCAGGAACTAGGACATGTTGCCCTGTGGCTTTGGGACCTGGGTTTTATATAATTGGGCTATTTTTGGAAAAGCAAATTAGAAGTCGGAGATGGTACAGTATGAGAGGGTTAAGGAAGCCTTTTACTTGTATCATTCATATTCCCAACTTCCTTCAGACTCAGTTTAGGTTTTGTCTCCAGAAAGCCCTTCCTGAACTCCAGGCCTGAGTTAGTGACTCTGTTCTAAGCTTTAGCACCATATGCCTCCGAGCCCCCATGACCTTTCATTGAAATGAGCCACTTATGTCTGATTTCCTTTCCAAGTCAGGGACTCTGTCTTATTGCCCTGTGCATCACTGGCACCCAGCATAGGGTCTGATGACATGATTGTAGAATCTGACCTGGCTTAAGGCTTGATATCCAGGGGTGCCTTCTTGGCAAAATCACAGTGACATATTCATAGTCACAGTCTATGTGGGTCAGAGTGGGAGGGAATTCCCTCCGGGTCTTTGGTACAGAATGCAAAAGAGAAGAGGGAGCCGCTATTGTGGGACATGCAGTAGGCTTGGGGGAGGGGGCAGCTATAGTACTAGTAAAGTTGTGCAAAGGTCATATGGCAACAGAAAGGTCTGGATGGGGTGAGGGAAAGGCAGATTGGTGAAAGTGAGCTCAGACAAAGTCCTTCTCAGCAATCAGGGAACTGTTGCCCATAGGATATGTTTGGAGACATTGGTGGCCCCTTTCTAATCTATGGGAACTTTGCTGCCCCCTGCCCCAAGTACTTTGGGGACATTAGTTTATTCTTAATATTGGAGACATTGCCCTCTAGTCATTGCTTCCTTTATTAGATCATGTGGTTGCCTGGGCATTGCTATAAGTTTGGGGAGATGGGTAATTAGCTGACCTTCTAAGGTTCAAACTCTAGGGTTAGAATTCTAACTTTTTTCCTTAAAGCTGCTACTGTAATTGGCTTCATCTATTAAATGTACGGTATCATCCTTCACTGCCATGTATTTAATTATGCATTGTGGAAGGGTTTAAATAACAACTTTTACTTCTAAAAGCCTGCTCCGAGTCTTCCAGCATTACTAATAGAAATCCCAGGGAACAGAATCTATATTAAAATAGAAAATAAAAAATGCATAAACTGCACCAAGCCAATGTAATGGAAATCTTGCCAAAACATAAAAAAACATATGCATAATATTTTATTAAACTTAAGAAACACACATAAATTCCTCTGTGGGATCCAAGTATATTAGTAATAGATATACCATAAAATTCAGTTACTCAACAGTCATAAAAGATAGCACAGATCAAGTAAATGCTTCCATTTTAAAGGAAACATTTCAAAATGAGAGAAAAATACATTTACTATATAATTGCAACTGAGACAATGACAGTGATGTAGTCAGTGGCAATGACAGTGATGTAGTCAGTGGCCGCAAGTCATCTCTGAGTAGCTCCAGATCTAGTGGAGAGAGTGGGAGTGGGGTGCTATATTAGTCAATGTTCTTCAGAAAAAGAGAGCTAATGACATATGTATGTATACACACGAAGTCATCCCTTGATATACATGGAGGATTGATTGCACGACCCCCTGCGTGTGCCAAAATCTGTGCATACTCAAGTCTGGCAGTCAGCCCATGGAACCCACTTATAAGAAAAGTTGGCCTTTCATAGAGAAGGGTTTTGCCTCCCTTGAGTACTGCATTTTTAATCTGCATCTTGTTGAAAACAATCCACATGTAAGTGGACCCATACAGTTCAAACCTGTGTTGTTTAAGGGTTAAATGTGTACATATATTTATTATAAGAGACTTATTGTAAACAATTGGCTCCTTCAGTTATGGAGGCTGAGAAGTCCTAGCATCTGCAGTTGACAAAGTGGAGACCTAGGAGAGTCAATGGTATAGATCCTGTCTGAGTCCAAAGGCCTAAGGACCATGAGAACTGATGGTGTAAGATCTAGTATGAGTCTGAGTCCAAAGGCAGGAAAAAATGCATGTCCCCACTCAAAGACAGGCAGAAAGAGAGAGAGAGAGAGAGCTCCTTCTTACTGCACCTTTTGAAAAATATTTAGACCTTCAATTAACTAAATGAAGCCTACTCACATTAGAGAAGGCAATCTGCTTTACTCAGCCTACTGATTCAAATGCTAATCTCATCCAGAAACACCCTCATACACATACCCAGAATAATGTTTGACCAAATATCTGGGGACCTCATGGCCCAGTCAAATTGACACTTAAAATTAGCCATCAAATGTGCTGTCTCCTAGAATACTCCAACAGAGGAAGGACCACCACCTGACTTTACAGTGGTAGGTGTGTGATATCTGTACAATGCCACAATATTAAAAATTCGAGTAGCCAGTCTTGGACTGAACATAAGGTATGCAACATGCAACATGCATCAGTGGCTTAACTTATTAGTGTACATTTCTTTCTGTCTAATATTTTGCATCTAAAGTAAAGTACTTACATCTAAAGTAACTTTGGCAATGATTATAACAAAAATACAGTAGAAAAGACAATAAGTTGATATTGAAAGAAGGAATTTGACTCCTACTATAGAATATTGCCTTTCCCAAGAGAAGAGGCTCAAGTTAGCAAATGGAACAAGGATCCTTAGAACCTTCTGATTCTGTATTCCTGACCAACTCATAGTTATTAATACTGTGAACTTTCCGTGTTGTTGCACTTATGTACAAATTTGGAAGGTGAGGAGCCAATTTATTTAGATAGTTTCTTCCGGGATTCATGACTTTCTTTCTTCACCCTCATCTACCAATCCAGTGGTGTTATGACATAGGGTTGGGGAAAATCTTTCAAGGCTGGAGGGTTGAGTTTAAAAATCAAGAACTGCATGATGACAGTGGTTCTTTCCTTGTCTTGTTCCACCATGACTACATCTCAGGAGGTAAGTCTAGGCAGCAAAATGCCATTTGTATGATAAGACTGTTTTAGGATGGAGTGAGTGAAGAATGCCAGAGAAACAATGGTTACATTCTCATGCAGTAGGCATGTTGCTTGAACTTGGGTGCCCTTATCCCTGAGAATATACAAAGATGTAGAACAAACATGGCATCTTCTTGAAGCACCAATTTTGTCTAGTAATTTTGAGGAAAAATGATTTTCTATTAAACCAAACAGATGCTTCACTGAGTAGAATACAAAATTTGCAAAAATTTTAAAAATTGCAACATGTGATTTCAGAGAAATTTTATGCTTATGGCCAGCTGCTATGAGTTCCTATTTCCTTCCCTTGGGGTTGAGTGCATACCCTCTTCTGTAATTAAAGATATTTAGGTGGAAAAGTTTGAGAGCTCTAGTGAAGATTATTTTCAGGTAAGAGGTTTGGTTTCTGTACTCAAATATTTTGTTGATTTGCTGTCTGTCTCTGGGCAACACACCTGTTCTCTCTTTATGTGTGCCTTCTCATCTATAAAGCTGAAATAAAGTTGTATTTGTTTAAAATCTCCAGGCTAAAACAAAATGATCTCTTGAACACTTCTGAGATGCTGGCTCTTTAATTTTCACTGGGATTGAGAAAAGTAGGTAGCTCTTATGACATCTGTGTTGTGTCCATCTTCTATCCTATTCCATTGGGTATTCTAATTGCCCTGTATCTCTAGGTCATAGCCTCTGAGAACCATCTCTGGAATACCCTAAAAGAACGCAGGATTTCATTGTTGATGCAGAATGCTCCTCTATCTCCTTATCATTGGGAAGAGTGATTGCAGCCATCTAGCAGGTGACAAGCTCCTGTCAGCCTAGTGGGGGTAGCTGTGGAAGCACATGCCTTATTAAACACAACCCATGACAGATTGAAGTGATGGGAACACTTGCTAAGTGGTTTGGCAAAGACAGAGATCTTTTTGCCAAGTAAAGTCTGGAAATTACACATCTCAAATCCATTATAGAACAGCTTTATACTGAGGTCATAGCTGATTTGGATATTCTAAAAAGTATCATGCCACTGACAGATTCTTCCAACATTTGTACAGAAAATGGGTCCTTTTTAGAATCCCAAGGCACTTTTGTTTTGAGAAAACCAAATTTGAGTGAAAATTTAGTAAAATGTAATGAAGACACATTTGCATTGTTTGGGATAATCTAGTTGTAAATGCAGCTGGTAGTTTCTCCCTGAATGGTAGAAATGCAGGGGACCCAAAGGGATCAAGTTTATAGGCTCTTGTCTTCAGGGACAAATAAAGGTGGGATACTGACTTTCCATCTGTAGCTGTTCTATTGGAGTATTTTACTCTAAGGTGGTGACTTTAAGGTCCCAGCCTTCCTGAAAAACTCAGCATTCACTGCTTTTCTGTATTCTGGGACAAATCATTATATAGTACTGGGTCCAATAACAAGCATTGTCATCAGTGACATAAAGAGACTGCTTTTGCCTTTGGAAAGCCTGTAAAGTTATTCACTTACTTACCCAATAAATATTTTTGAATACTTACTGTATGTTAGACACAATAGGGTTTGATAACTTAATTATTTCCATTTATTTCTAAAAGAAAATTTAACCAAACCTATTGGCATCTATTGGTTTGAGTGCCAGGGAATGTTCACTTCTTGTTTCTGTTTTCCCACTCAACAGTCTTGAACAGTGAATCTCCCTATAGTCTAACAACTGGGCCAGACCAGCTATCTCAGTGTTCTGGTTATTTATGGCAACACAAAATGGCAGCCTGAGACTGGACCCTTTTGCTTCTCCTGACTGTAGTCTACTATATCCCAAGTTTGGTTGCACCAGAATCCTTAAGTAAACTCTGGAATTTTGTACAGCCACAAGACTAGTAAGTGTTTCCCAGTAGACTATAAGCTTCAGGAGGGCAATTATGATACTCTGTCCTTCATGTGCAATAACACTTATCATACATTACTGTAGCTTCTTATTTAGCTGCCTCTTACCCGTTTTTGACTGGAAACTCTCAGAGGACAGTGGTGGTGTTTCCCTTCATTGCTGCTGTATTGCCAAAGTTTACAGACATATCAAGGTACCTAGAAAGTACCCAACAAATGTTTGTTGGTTGAAAAATAAATACTTTATTGCCTTTGACCTTCTGCTAAATTCTAGCAAAGGGCAAGCGGAATTCTCCCACAACACTCATCCCATCTTCCTTGATTTCCCAATATTTTATGGACTCATTGTAAAAGTCAGAGGGCAGGGTATCAAGTTAGATCCATTGACAATGTATATTTGGCTACTACGCAGTATGAGATGTAATTTCAGTGAACTAATTTTACTTCAAATGACAGTGAGTCATAAAACAAATACAATTTAGAAATGTGTGGTTTATAGGCTCAGTAAATAACAATCCAAAGGCTTTAATATTTTAGTGAAATAACACCATTTCCAAGAAAGTTAGAATCATTAATCAAATTCTAGAGTAAAGGTCAAATTTCTTTTGCTGTTTCTTTTTCATTTTCACACCTTTCATTCAGATGATAGTAGATTTGGTAGGCTGAGAAGAAATAACAAACATACAAAACAACAATTTTGTTCTAATAAATTCTTATTTAGGCTTGTGGTTTGTTCTAGGATAAAATTGTATCATCATCTTCCTGTGAAAAAATGGAAATGTCTGGTCAAAACAACCAACTTTGCCTTTAGCAAATTCTTGTGGTCTCACGAAAACATAAACAGTGCAGTTTAGACAGTTTTGTGTATAAATACTGACTAGTTAGAAGCAAAATAAATGGCACATACATTTTAATGGGTGATTCTCTGACAATTGTGATTGTTTGAAAAGCATAGCTGAATTTGGGAAAATCATGAAAATTGTGGAACTTGAGGAGAGGTTTGTGAACCATTCCACACTTGTCTAATGATTATTGAAACCCTTCCTCCCTTCCCTACACACAAGGCCTCATGGATGTAACATTGAATAGATAGCCATGCCTTTCAGGACATTGTCTCAGTGGGACATGCACATTTATGTCTGGAATTACAGTGTTCTGTGCTCTGAGAGTTCTGAGCAGAGCACTGAGAAAGCACAGAGAAGAGAACTGGACTTACATAATAGTTGACATCTGAGCTCAATCTTTAAGCTGATTCGGAAGTCTCCTGCTAGAGAGGACAGGCTTTTTTAAGCAGGAAGAAAAATCATGCAGATATGAAGTTATCAAAGAGCTTGGTGTATGGAGAAATGTTCAGGAGAGTATTGTGGTTGGAGAGGACGGGTGAGCTCAGGAAAATATGAACAATGCAGTTTACACGAGAGATGGTGGATGAGGAGAGAAAGGTGGCTTGCTCTGCTGTGGGAAGAGCCTGAGTGGCAAGGTGGGAAGTGTGATGGCGAACAGAGTGATGGAGGTGATCATGTGTGTAAGGCTAAGGAACTATAGCAATTCCAATTCAGATAATAATACTTTTATAATGTCGAGATAGTTTATGCTAAGGGCAGGGGAAAGCTATACCAACTTAGAGGTCAGGAAATGCTTTCTGGAGAGATTGATATCTGAAGGATAAATAGGAGAAATCAGGGAAAGTAGAGAGGGAAAAAATCATTCTGGGGATAAGGACCATCCTGTAGAAAGAGATGAGTGAGAGAGGGGAGTGGATGGAAAGGAAAGAAGGAGAAGGGAAGTGGGGAAGGGAAAGGAGGGGAGGCAAATGGCAGAGAAGACACATTCTAAGAACTGAAAGTATTTGAGTATGACAGGAGGATGGGAACAGAAGTTAATAAATGAGCGTTGAAGAGATGAGGCTTGAGATTAAAGCAATGGTAGATCAGGCAGGTCCTTGTAAGCAATCAGGATGGGGGAACCTCTGAAGTGTTTAAAGTGGGGAGGTGATGTGATCAGCTTTGCAGTTAAAAAAGATCATCCTAGAGACTTGAGTGGAGAATCCATGGGAAGCCAGGAAATCAATTGATAAGCTGCTTCATTCGTCTGGAAAAGAGGTGATGGTAGCCCAAATTTGCCAATATATATTGGCAAGACAGTTGAGGACATTAGTAAGAAAGGGACCGAGTGAGGACCACAGAGTTTAAACTCATTGGAGAAGAAAGTGAAGGCAGGAGTACACTTGCAGAGACCAAGAGGTGGTTCCGTGGAAGGTTCTGTGTGCAGAAGGTTGACTGTGGGAGGTGTGAGAGGGATCATGCTAAGAGAGTGTTGTGCTCAGAAGGCAACATCTGAATTTGTTGTGGTTGTTGTTTCAGAAATAGAGTGGTTGTTGGTAAAAATAAATTCTCCGTGATGTAGACAGAGGAAAGAGAAACAGAAAAGAAGTTGCCTAGGTGAGGAGGACTGGGCCAAGTGAGTGCAATTGTGGAAGCCTGGGCCCCAGGGCTCTGGGTTGAGATGAGAGCCCTGGGGGCCAGCTGCCGCAGGCTTTTTTGATGGAGACATGATACAGGACTGGAAATATGATGATGATGAGTGGCGGGAAAATGGCCCATAAGCAGAATGACACAAGCTTGGAAGAAGCAGGGGACCTTCTACAGGAAAACAGTGGGAAATTGTCTAGAAATAGCATTGAGCAGCTATCAGAGAATGTGCAAGAATGATCTGTCTCAAGATGTGAGGGAAGCAGAGGGGATACCCCAGGAGAAAGCCACATTTGATGTAAGGCAAGAAGGTGAGAGAAACTTTTGTTGAAAAGACCTAGACCATGTGGGACCTGGTTTGGGGTTTTGGCGGACAGATTTAGGAAGAAAAGAGAGAGATGCAGGCTGGATAATAAAGTGAACCTGGGTGTGAGGCATGTGGGTTTTGATGGCTGTACGTTTCCAAAATGCTGGAGGGAGATGGCTGCTCAAGCTTTTAGAGAGGATTAGCGATGCACACTTTTATTAAACGTGAAAATAATAAGCTACCATTTCCCCTAAGTGGACTTTGTGTATTTACAACTGGAGCCATAGCTTTGCAGTGCTGCCAGTTGGCCTATTTCTGATCACAGCAGAAGGATGCAAACCCATAGGGCATCTCTGGAGGTCTCTGTCCTGGACACAAGCCATTGGCTGCATTACTGACCCCTCAAATTGGTAATGATGAGATATCTAGATATGCCGTTGCAGTAGCCAGGAAAAGATAATTCACTAAAATATTTTTATCTCCAGCTCATTTTCACAGACTTCCTCAGGAAAGACATGCTTTCTCTTTTTGTGTATTTAAAGAAATAAACTCTAACCTTGAGGGAAGGCAGAATCAAAGATCTGGCAACCACATTTGTCATAAATAATGAATGAGAAAACATTAAAAAATTAATTGAGAAAAATTAAGTATCAGTGTAGTACTTGTGCAAATTGGCTCGTGGGAGTTGTGGTAGGTTCGCCTCACTGATGAGCTGCCTATATAAAATTCTTCTTCTGTGGCATTCTTAAGGCATTGACTAGATTCTTCTCCCTACTCACCATTAGCTCCTTCCATTTTTCTCCTGTGGTTCATAAGTAGGTGTTCCTCAAACCTCAACTCTCAAGCTGCTCTTCTCCAATTGTCTATTCTTTGGATTCCACTGATATGTGATCAGTCCCTAATTCCATTTTCTTTCTCCCCACATCTATCCTGTTCACAGAATCCATCTTCTCAAATCACTGATTTATTTTTATTTACTCTGTTTAAGAAATATCTATAGATCATTCTCTCCATGCCTCTCTGTTATCTCAATCCTACATTCCAAGACCCAGCCCCAGTGCACCTTCTCCAAGGAACAATGTTTTTCATCAAAACCTTCATCTCTCTTTGTTGACATCTGCTTCCAAAGAGCTCAACCTGTGAAAATTGGTACTGGACATGGTCTAAGAAAAGCAGGTGATTAAATGGGGCTTTAGATCTCTAGACATCAGATTGACAATAAGTGATTAGCCTGTGTACCAATCACTGGTATGCACACAGCGCTTGGCCAAAGATAACATTCCTGTTGTCAAAACTTTAACTAGTGATGAAATGAGATGGTGAACTGGGGGAAGGAAATGTACTAGCAATCAGGATATATCAGGTTTTTGAGATAAATGTATGAAATGAGTAAATAGTATCTATAAGCGTGGTAGGATTGGAAGGCTATCGCTAAATTCCACTGATCCTTTACAGTGAGATAATGAAGAGTTGAAGGTGAGTAAATGCAATAGAAAGCCAGAGGGCATTTGGTTTCATACAAAGAAGCTCTCATCTCGAAATCAAGAACCAAGCTAAGACTTAATAGTGATAGGGTCTGACGTTTAAAGTGATAGTGGTTAAATGCTCAACCACAGTAGGTTTGTTTTGTTAGAGTTCAACCAGAACTAAGAATATTGCCCAGAGGGGTGGTTAAGTCCCTAGGAAGAAGGACCACGGCAACATCATGGCATAGACTTGCAGTAACGTTTCCCAAGCCCTTCTACAAAGACACCTAAGGTCATTTACATAAGTAACTGCACTGAGGAAAGGGGATCACAAAGGCATTCCAAGGACTATTGAGCATGGATTTGAGTTGATATTGATACCCGAAGACCTAAATTATATGATGCTCCTGTTGGAGGGCAGGCATATGAAGTCCTGTATGAGGTCAGGTGGTTATTTTCCCCTTCTTTAATATACATTTGTGCTTGACATACTTCGCAATTGGTGCAAGAACCGTACTGGGGCATTAGTCTGTGTGGTCAGACCTACTACAGAGGAAAGAAGGAAGACTAGGATCTTCCCCTTACCCTATCATATCCCTGTAGTCAAGATAGTGAATCAAAACTAATATCACATCATAGAGGGGATGATTGAGATTAGTGTCATACTTAAAGGATCTAAAGGATGCAGAAGTAGTGGTCTCCATCATAACTCCATTTATTTCATAAATCTGGCCCTTTCAAAAACTGGACGGAACTTGGAGGACGATGGTAGATTCCCATCATATTTCCATTTATTTCATAAATCTGGTCCTGACAAAGCTGGATGGAACTTGGAGAATGATGGTAGATTACTGCAAGCTCAACACGTAGTAGTCCCAATAATAGCTGCCTTGCCAAACGTGTTATGTTTTCTAGAGCAGATTAATACAGCCTATGGTAAGGTATATGGTAAGCAGCCATTGATTTGGCGATTGGATCTTTTTTATTGCAATCACAAAAATGGTTTAGAAACAGTTCACATTCATATCATATGGAATGGATAAATTCATGCATTTACATTTTTGTTCCAGGTCTATGCTAACTCTCTTGCCCTGTATCAAAATATAGTCTGGGGAGTTCTAGATCAGTGCTGTCCAATATAAATAAAATATGAGCCACATGTATAATTTAAATTTTCTAGTAATCAAATTGAAAAAGAAAGGGAATAGAAAATATTAATTTTAATAATATACTTTATTTAACCCAATGTTTCCAAAATAACATTATTTCAACATGAAACCAACATAAAAATGTGAGTGAGTTTTTTTTTTTTTTTGGTACAATGTCTTCCATATTTCTGATGTGTTTTACACTCATAGCATATCTCAGTTCTGATGCTAAATGTTCATGGACTATATGTGAGCTCATAATATTTATCTTTGAAAAAGTAGATTCACATGCCCAATTGTTTCCAACGTACTTTAAAAATACCTGATAACTGAATCAATTACCAAAAGAATATTTTTTTCTTTAATATTTGCATCCACATTGACACAAAGAATGTATCTTTTTTAAAGAGTTGATTTGACTTTGAAGCAAATGTGCATCAGTTTCAAAATTAAGACTGCTAAAATTAGTGAAATTCATTAGCTCTTTTGTCAACTCAGTATTATTAAAATGGAATGCAAAGGGTTAGTGCACAAATTGAAAAGCAGCCCTACATTTATCAATGTCAAAAAGTGTTCACCAAGTTCTTCTCATAGTTTTTGTAATCAACTTATTTAATACTATTGATTACAATTAAAATCTTCTCCATATTGGTTCGTGTTGGAAAAATACATAAAAATTCTTATTGATTTGTATTATGAAAACTTTTAATTTTAGCATAAATTTGCATATATGTGTACCTAAGTCACAAATACACTTTTGCTTTCCATAGAGCTTCAAAGTCAGTTTATTCAGATGCAGTGTAACATCAGTGAGAAAATGTACATTGCATTGCCATTTGTTGCCTTTAATTACTGGATATTTGGCAAGCATTCTTTTTGTTTTGAGAAGTTTACAGTTTATTGGATTTGGAGATTATAGTTCAGGAAATTTCTGTACAACTCTTCCATTACTCATCCGATATAAGATTATTAATTTTATTGTTTTTTAGTTCTTTCAAATATTCTATAACCTGGTGACAATTCGTAGCTTTTGCACATATACACTGCATAGTTTTAACAACTATATCAATGATGATTTTCCTAGAGTTTGCTTCAGAAAACTGAACACGAATATTTCAAGTATGTATCAGATAGTGGGACAAATCAATAAGGGAAACATCAGTGTCTTGTTTTAAAATTCCAGTAACTTAACAGTAGTGTTAAGTCAAACTTGGATTAGTGATGGAAACAAATTTTTCATATTTAGGTGAAACTGTTTTTTGAGAGTTACAAAACATTTTAAAAGTCTATGTGATGAGTCTGATTTTTTAGGTTGCAAATTGACATTTGTTTATACATTTGGA
Source organism: Homo sapiens (assembly GCF_000001405.40). Lineage (NCBI taxonomy): Eukaryota > Metazoa > Chordata > Mammalia > Primates > Hominidae > Homo > Homo sapiens. Next base: position 21,309,986 of record NC_000002.12, read on the forward strand.
AGTCAAAATGGGACAAAATATACCAACGTATTAATTGGGCTGTGTCTCTTAATATTGTGTGATTCATATAAAGCTAAATAAAAGTACTCGCAATTTTTCAAATTTGAATCTATTTTTGATAGTGTTAGAAAGGTCTAGTATTCTATTGATACTTGTTTTATTGCTTAATTGATGATCTTTTACTATTTCTAAAACATGTTTTCTATATTTTTCTCATAATTTTAAAATTCTTTATTTAATTAAAAATTTTTATTTTAGAGATGGAGTCTTACTCTGTTCCCATGCTGGTCTCAAACTCCTGGGCTCAAGTGATGCTCCAGCATCAGCCTCCAGAGTAGCTGGGACTGCAGGTGAGCACCACCATGCCTGGCTTCTCATAATTTTTAAATAAACTTTTTATAACTGGAATAGTAATTTTTTTTACCATCTCTACATTCAGAAATCATTTTCTATTTTGTGTAGGAATCTAAGATATTTTATAGCTGACCAAAGTTATACTCTCAGATCTCATTAAGACTCTTACAAAATTATTGTTGGATATTTAATTCTAATTCAGGTAACTAAATCTATTGATTGCCTTTTTTACTCTTGGGAGAAACCTTATCAAATTCATTATATATTGGCTGAAAATGTCTCAGCATTTTTTACTTTGTTATCTCGAAAAACTTGTTACACAACAAACCACATTTTTTTTTTTTTTGGTTTGCTTGGCTGCAACAAATTGCAGTCACCATGCATCATAAAACATGTGACATACTTTCTTCCAGGCTTTTTTTTTTTCTTTACCTTTCCAGTTGTAGTAGCAGCTTTTGCATTTTCTTTCAAATCTGCATCAATAATATGCCTTCATTTTCATGTTAAAAAATTACCCATATTCATTTCTTTAATCTGGAAAAATGGTTTAGTTACATTATAATAAAAACAATAATAAACATTTTAATTTAATTATCAATTACATTTTATATTGGTATTATTGGGATATTTACTGATTACAAAAAATATTTTTAAAAACGCAATATTACGCTTATACCTGGAAAAAAATTGTAGTGAATTTGTTGACATCTGCTCAATTGGTGATGTGTTTATGTATAATACTAGAAATAATGCATGCCCCTCATAAGTGCTTTATATATAGTAATATTATTCCATGAAATGGTTAACATGCCATGTAATCTTACACAAAAGGTGAAGTTATGTGTAACAAAAAAATTTTACACTGTTTCAGTCTTTTTTTTTTTTTTGAGACGGAGTCTTGTTCTGTCACCCAGGCTAGAGTGCAGTGGTGTGATCTCGGCTCACTGCAAGCTCCGCCTCCCAGGTTCACGCCATTCTCCTGCCTCAGCCTCCCCACCAGCTGGGACTACAGGCGCAGGCTGCCAAACCTGGCTAATTTTTTTGTATTTTTAGTAGAGATGGGGTTTCACCATGTTAGCCAGGATGGTCTTGATCTCCGACCTTGTGATCCGCCCCGTCGGCCTCCCAAAGTGCTGGGATTACAGGCCTGAGCCACTGAGCCCAGCCGGTTTCAGTCTTTAAATTTAACTTCACTAAAATTAGTTCAAATTAAATATTCAGTTTCTCAGTTGCACTAGTCACATTTTATATGCTCAACAGCCACGTGAGGTTAGGGGCTACCATAATGGATGACACAGATCTAAGACTTCTGGACATCTTGCAGAACATCACATTTATCCATTACATCAATGACATCATGTTGACCGGGCTGGAAGAAGAAGAGGTAGGTGGCATACTGAAAGCTATGGTAAGACTCATGGGGAGCAGAAGAGGAATTCTGCAAATATTCAGGAACCTATTATATTCATAAAATTTTTAGGAACCCAGTGGTCAGAAGCATGACACAACATCCCTCTGAAAGGAAAAGAGAAATTGTTGCATCCTGCACCTTCTGTCTTGAAGAAGGGAGCACAACAGTGCTGGTAGGACTTTTCAGTTCCATTGGTAGTGTATTCTACACATCATAGAGATATTGCTTTGGCCCATACATAAGTAACACAAAAGCCTGCTAGCTTTAAGAAGGCCCAGAACAGGCAAAGTTTCTGCAGTCCTACCACTTCAGCCATATGATCCAGTAGACTCTGTGGTGTTGGAGGCATCGGTGGTGGCAAGAGATGCCACCTAGGGGTTGTGACAAGCTCTAGTGATGGAATCCCAAAGCAGGCCCATGAGGTTCTAGAGTAAAGGCATGCTACCTGCAATGGAGAATCATGGTTTTTTGTTTGTGTGTTTTTTGGTTTTGGTTTAAAAAAGAACAAAAATCAGCTCCTAGTATACTGCTGAGCCCTGATAGTGACAGAATGCCTGACAATGGGGCAACAGGTGACCATGTGGCTGAAACTCTCCGTCATCAGCTGAGTCCTGTCAGACTTTCCAAGTCGTAGGTTGGGTAGACCCACAACAATCCATTGCAAGATGGAAGTGGTGCATCCCGGGTTGGGCATGAACAGGACCAGAGGACACAAGCAAGTACCTGAGCAGGTAGCCCAGATCCCTGTGGCATCCACTACTATTGCATTAGTGATTATCCCTTGGCTCATGCCTAGGACTGTGTGTGGGATCTCATGCAAGCAGTTGAGGAAAGAGGAAAAAGGCTGATCTTGCTGACCAATGGGTCAACCTGTTACATGGGTAAAAACCAAAAATGGACAGCCACCTTATTACAGCCTGGAGGTATCCTTGAAAAACAGCAGTGGGAGAAAATTCTCTTAATTGTAAGAGCTTTGGATAATACACTTGGCCATCTATTTTGTATGAAAAAAGAAAAGGTTTAATACATATGGCCTCACAGGCAGCAGCAAATAGAAACAGACTGGAAGATCAATAACGAAGTCTGGGTTGATAACATGTGCATGGACAAATGCGAATTGTCATGAAGTGTGAAGATTTTTATAGCACATGTTGTACCCACCAGAGATCACCAAAAGAAGAGGCACTAAAAAACCAAATAGGCAAAATGACTCAGCTGGATGATGGCAGCCAGCCTCTGTCATCAGTTACTTCAGTGCTGGCTTGAGGGATACATGAACAGAATGGCCATTATGGCAGAGGTGAATGCTACACCTGGGTTCAGCAACACGGATTCTGAGTTACCAAGGCTAATCTATTTACTCCCACCACCAATGTCCAGCCTGCCAGCAACAGAGGCCAGTGCTGAACACTCAAATTGCACCATTCCTTGAAAATATAAAGTGGCCACTGGTGGCAAGATGATAACACTGGACCCCTCTCATCCTGCGAGGTGAGCAGTTTCCTTTCACAGGAATAAACACATAGAACTTGTGTGGGTATAAGATTTTCCCGCCTACAGGGCCCAGCCAGCACCACTAGCAAAGAGTTTATGTAGTGTTGCATTCAACAACATTGGATCCAACTGGAAAGGGAAAGAGGGAGGGTGGGATGGGGTTGGGGGTAGGGGAGAGAGAGAGCAAGAGAGCTGCATTCCCAGAATGAAAGGAGTTCACATGCCTAGAGAGGTATCAGTAAAGGGGAGTGGGAGACAGAAAGTTGGAAGGTTTTTCAAGGGGTGGATCATGGAAAGGCCTTGTAGGCCATGCTAACAAGTTTGAGCCATATGGATATAGGTAACCAATGAAGGACTTTTTTTTTTCTTTTTGAGACAGAGTGTCAGTCTGTGGCCCAGGCTGGAGTGCGGTGGTGCAGTCTTGGCTCACTGAAACCCCTGCCACCTGGATTCAAGAGATTCTCATGCCTTAGCCACTCACGTAGCTGGGATTGCCAGCATGCCCCACCATGCCTGGCTAATTTTTGTATTTTTAGTAGAGATGGGTTTCGCCATGTTGGCCTAGCTGGTCCTTGAACTTCTGGCCTCCAGAGATCCTCCTACTTTGGCCTCCCAAAGTGCTGGGATTACAGGCGTGAGCCACCGTGCCAGATCCCACTGAAGGATTTTAGAAAGGTGGGTGGCATGATTGGATTCGCCATGAACTCCTTATTATCTCGGACTTTATTTCTTACCTTATTTGTTGAGAAGAAGAGGGATGTGAAATTTGGAACTAAATTAAAATCCATGTGAGCCAGGCCTCTGTCCTATTTATCTCAGAAGAATGCCCTCTCATTTTTATAATGAGACAATCGCCAAGATTATACTTTTTTTAAAGTGGCAAAAACATACAAAAGGAGTAAAGGGGATCTTTGCCTGCTCATATTTGTGAAAACCAAGAACAGAATATAGAAATGCCCAAAGAGCATGTTTGAATACATCTCTTTGTAAAACATGACAGAAAGGAGTGATTATTTAAATTGGACAGGACTTTGCATTCCTGGCTCCTTGGTGGCAGTGCCTTTTGTCTGAACTCTTTTACTAGAAAAATGTCACAAAGGATAAAAAATGAGTCCAATAAGTTTTATTCAATTTCAGAGTCTATTATATATTCTGTTTTACACAAAGCATATAATTTTAAATTTCATAGATAGGCACACTGAACATACACTTGGTAGATATACAGCTATTTGTACGAGTGAAATTGAAACCCTCCAGGGAGGGTACATTAATAATTCCTTACTTGTAAGACAGAACAGCCATCTCATATTCCAAACAAAGCCCGGCCAGCACAGAAGTGATTCATGGTCATTTATGAAAACTGATTACCAATCACCAGATTGTAAAGCCATGGCAACATTTATTTTTCAATCTCATAAACAATAAAGCTCCTTTTTGTTAAACACATGAGGGACCTCTTTCCCATGGAGGAGTTAGTAAATGCAAAAGCTAATTTTCCACATCTGACAGCATTCATGAAAGCTGATGAATACATGTATGATAAACACATATTTCAGTAGAAAGAAAAATTAATGTGTATATACCTACATAGCGTTTTCTTTCACTGGGGTGTTGATCTGAGAGTAGCGGTCAGGGGAACCTGAATCTTTTATTTTAGTGCCTCAAAGGCAAACATTTTCCTAATTGGACAGTTTAAAATATTCAGTTCATTAATCCTAGATAAAAGCCATATTCATATTTAGCTTAAATGGTTCTTTTCAACAAGATATATTAAAATTGTAGTTTCTTTATTTAATAATGAGAAACAAGAGATCACAATAATGTCTGATTTGTAGCTTATTCTCGATACTTGGTAAAGACATTAGACAAACCATTTATGAATTTTCTGTCAACAAAGTGTCCTAAGGTACCACCAGGAAGAACCAGCATGGTTTTGTGACCCACAGGTCCTGCTGGGGCTGCTTTTTCCTATTCCAGTGGTTGAAAGCCAGGCCAAGTGGACACAAAAAGTAGCAAGGTCATTCTCTGCTTGGCCTTCACTTGTTGTGTCAATGTCTGTTATGTGTCCCAGGGAGACAGTAACTTCTCCAAGGTCAGCCTGAAAGCCTGGAAGTCTTCTCCCCCATCCTGTAGCCAAAAGTGGTGGTGAAGGGATATGAAATCCAACACTGAGTGAAGGGGTAGGAAGAGGGTGGGGGGATGGAGGAACACAGGCAAATCAATTTCCCGTGATGTGCATAATTGGTCTTACACTTGGAAGTGCTTCTGAAAACATTTTCATTCAGAGTGAGCTGAAGAAGTTTAAGAAATAAGCAGTCCTAAATCAGATGATAGGTTGGGCCATTTTCAAGGGTCATGTGGCCAGAGCTGAGCAAGTTGAAATTTTGCTGGCAGAAGTCCATTGGTATTTTTGGACCCCTGTAGGAAGAATAGGTAAATGTAGATTTTAGGCAATGTGGCTTCTCCTGATGTAACTCTTGAGTTTGACTTTGAAGCACTGGGCCCGGACTTAGTCTTTCCAGAGCCTTAGGACCCCCATGTCTAGGTATTCATTAGAAGAGGCGAATCCATGTCCAGTCTTTGGCTCCTGCCTTGTTACATCTCTTCCTTGTCCTTTGGCCAAGCTCTGCTCCAGGCTTGAGCCTTTTTTATTTCTATAACACAGTTTGATTCACTGTTGTTGAAAATCTTGAATGGTGGCATCATTAATAATACATTCATTACCTCAGTCAAAAATGGCCAGCGTTCTGCCTTCTTATCTGCTTCCTTGAGCATTTTATTGCCAAACCATGAAAAGAAGTGGAGTTGTGGGGGCAAAAGTAGTTCAAAACTTCCAGTCCAGTTCTGGCCGCAAGAACAATCTTTAATTCTTGTTTTGCACCAAATATACTATCCCTTCTGGGTCTGTTCTAAGCTGTGTAAGCAGATAATTTCCAGTTTTTCAATGGCATTTTTAATAGTTACCTTCTGGAATTCAGCTTTCAAGGGATTTCCTGATAAGAGCTATGTAATCAGGATGGAATCTCTTATTAAAAGGATTTTCCTTTTCCAAATCTTGAAAAAAGTCTGTTTCTCTCTTCTCAAATTATCAGGCAATCTATCAATAATTGAAGGTGAGATTGAAACTATGACCTTGGCAGGTAGTGCAGAAGATTTGCTGAAGTTGTTTAATAGTGTGAGCTATTTTTTAGATTACGGAGTGTTTTTAAACTATATTAAAAGTAAACTTCTTTTCACACTCTTCAGGGGCCTGGGAACAGGTTCATTTGTTCAACAAACATGTCACTTATTCAACAATCAGTACTATGAAAGTAGAGGAAAAGAGTGAATTGAGGAAGTTTCCAGTTGCCCTTCACACTGACTCTCCTTGGCACGTTGCTGCTGATGGGTCCATCCTTGGCCTACTTACCATGGTGTCGCACAGTTATGAGGACAGTTCTAAGTCTGTCTCTGGATAAATGATGTACCAGGCCCTAGTGCATACAGACCTTCACCTGAATCACAGGGGGTATGTTAAAATGGCTGCAAGCCAGATACACAGTCAGTATCTAAATGGAAGGACTGGAAATCTGTGTTTCCACAAGCTCCCCAGGTGATTCTCAGGCTAACTAAAGTCTGAGAATTAAAGCATCAGAAATTGTGCCTAGAAGCCTGCCTTTGTAAGTTAATAGAATGATCTTGGATGATCTATTTAACCCCTCAGTACCTCAGTTTCCTCATCTGTAAAATGGCAGATAATAACAGTGTCTACCTCATGGGAATAGTTTTAAGGATTATGTAGTTATTAATTAAAAGATGTTAAATGCTTAGACCAGTGCTTAGAGGTGCTATGTAACTGTTTTCAATTATTATCACCATTAGTTCTAGGATTGCTTATAGCTGGACACTCAGCCTGTACGGCTTTCCCTATGAACCTTCAGCTGTGCCCAGTTTCAGGGCTCAGCAGGGTGTCTGAAGGCAAGGTCTCTTGTCTTGTGCTTAATTGGGAGAGGATGAGCAGGGGGCATATTGTGAAGCAAGGGGGCTCAGAGAGCTCTGGGCAGTAGACGTGGTGATTGAGGCCAACTTTCGTTTAAGTCTCAATACTGCCCCCTCGTGGCAGTATAAACTAAGGCCGGAGCCTATTTCCGTTACCTGTTAGACGGAAGTGAAAAAATTAATGGCTACTCCCTTTCATCTCTTCAATTTTGCCTTTTTTTTAACGAATCGTTAAAATAGGGACATTTCCTGTTAACTTGACTTTGGTATTGTGTTCTCTGACCCAAAATTGGGAAACCACGCTGAAGGGTGATTCCACAATGAGCTGGTCAATCTTGGCTATCACCTTCCTCCAAGTTATATTGTGGGAGGCTAAGTAAAGAATTAGGAGAGAATGGAGAGGCGGAGAGTTCTTTGGAGATAGAGTGTTAGTGTGCAGAACGTTCCCTCCTGTCCTGTCTTCTGCCCCTTCCTCCTCTCAAAGCTGAGTGGGAAGGGGCTTCACACAAAGATCAGGAAAGCTTGACGTATGGCTAGTGAACTTTAGGAGGGAGAGGTACTGGGATGTGGCTCAACCAGAGAAAATCCCAGGTGAGCAGCTGGCTGGAGTTCCTTGCGGTGGCAGAGCAGGGACAGGGCTACCATAGAGTGAGCTGCCCTCCCACCACAGTGGGGCAAAGGTGCTTGTTTTCTGTGGGCCAGATGTAGAGTCTGATGGACAGAGGAGGCCGTGGGCCATCTTGCAAAAGAACCTTGGCCATGAGGCGTCCTGCTTAGGGGTGAGGTGGGCTCTGCAGAAGGACTGCACTATTAGCTGTAGAAGCCATGGAGCATCCTGCGGGGTTAGCTAGAGATTGTACTAGGGAACTGCAGTCAGAGAATGGGGGGTGGAGGAGAATTTCTAAATACCCACAAAAGCAACCTGGGAGAGAAAGGATCAAGTCCAACATATGGACAATTACTACACTCAAGGTACCAACACTAGATTACAACTCTGCCTGACAAGAGAGGCCTTTTCTTTCCTTCCTTATCTCTTTTCCCTTCCCTTCACCTGACTATGGAGAAGGCAGAAATGGTCAGTGAGGGAGGAGGTGAAGCAAACCAAATCTGAAATTGTCCACACCCCTCCAACTCTGCTGATGTAGGATGTAGATTTCTGAGCCTGGGACAAACCAAAGCTTGGCAACAGGAGAGACTTTATATTGAATGAGGGTTTGAAAGTTTAATATTAAACTTGACTGGGGCTTTCCAAATCATGAAGTAACTGAAAATGCTGTAGGAACTGTCCAGGATTTTATCTGACAGGGAAGACTGATTCTACGGAGTAGGTGTAAAGGGTCAGCAGTGAGATAGAAGAAAGTTACCTTTGGCTTGCACACTGCCAAGTCCAGCTGGTTCACTAAACTAGGTAGCCTTGTAATATAAGATTCAAAGGCGCTAATGTGTGGGAAAGTACTTTGAATATTATAAGGTGATGTACATACTTTGAAATTAAAAATATTTTTATATATAGGTGTAGCTAAAAAAATAAGACAGAAGAGACCTATTAAGCACCTACTCAGTGCAAAGTTGACCTTGCTTTCAGTGTTTAGAGGATGCAGGAAAAAAATACGACATTGTTCCTGCCTGTGGGGAGCTTATTGTCTCTAAAGAGCGACAGTTGCAAGCCCCACCATTTCCTTATCCTCTTTTCTGCCAGGTCAAATGAAGTCAGACAGCAAAGGTGATTGAATTTTCAATCTTGAAAATACATCATGGAACCTGATTTTCCAAAGAAGTGATTCAAACTGAACAGCAAGGAAGCTTAACTTATTGCTGCCTGTCTCAGAACTCAAGCTCACACTTCTCTTTTCTTCAAATACTCGCCTGTTTCTAACAATCTGCCCACTGCTCTGGGTCCCGATGCCTCGACGCTGCATCTTGCTGCCCCGGTACTCTCTTTAACCTCAGGAGAAGAATCCCCACCTCGTGTCACTAGAATGTGGAACAGAGAAGAAGGAAGAGCTGACATAGTACAGACCAAGAAGATTTTAAAAACAAACAAACAAACAAACAAACAAAACCACATCCAGTTCCATCAGCCACACCTGGCAGTAAAGCCCTCAGTGGCCAACTCAGCAGTCCCACTTTGATTCTTCTTAGACGGCAGCATCTTCTTAGATAATGCTGTGCCTGATGCACAGTAGAAGCTTAATAAATACTATGACAAATTAATGTCTTTACTGATTATATATAGTTTTCTGGGTGAGAGCAATGAAGATAATCCTATGTCTTCCTTAATCCAGGCAACAGACAGCTTTCTGTTTAAAATTTGTGTTCTGGATAATCAGGGTATACAGAATGCTGATGTATTACCATAGTATCAAACTACAATAAGGCAATGTTAATCTAGCAATATATATAATGAGAATATTGGCTACAACAGAAAAACAGGGGCTTGTCTGGTCTGTATCTCTCAAGTGTGAGGAAGCAGTTTAGTCAAACAAGTTGAAAAATAAAACAAAATTTAAAAAGGATAAAAAAAAACCCTGGTTCTTTGTTTTCCAGGGGAGACCATCTCTATACTGAACTAAATTTAACTTCCCTATTGTGTATGATCGCCCTCCAATATGGGGCTACTCTGCCCAGAGGGACGACTTTGCCCGTGATGAGGATTAATCCCACTCTTGACCCACACAGATGGTTTTAGTGACTGTATCTTTTGTGCAGCTCCATTTCTTCTCAAAATGTGCAGATGAGATGTTTCTTCCAGCCTCTGGATATTGAGGTGCCTGGGATACCTGAGTGAGGGAAGAAAGGAGCACCAAGAAGTGGCAGCTGAAGCCAGATTGCACAAGAGAGAAAGGAAGACCATCCAAGGCAGACAGAAAAACTCAAGAGAGCAGCCGTCTGGGGCTATTTATCACATGAACAAAGTCAGAAGCCTTTCAATCTTCCTCCTGTATTACATCAGGGTTCATTTTTAAAAGATACGCAACTTGGTGATCACAAGTTATTAAAAAAAAGTAGAAGAGATGGAAGTGTGGGTGTCATGCGTTGTGAAAAATTGTCCATTTAAAATGGATACAAAATGGAAGCCCAATTTTATTTAATGACAGTAAACTTATCTAGAATGCTGCATTCCCATAGCCTATCAGCTGAGAATTAGTTGATTGAACACCTTCTGCTTGTCTTTGTCAGGCCCATAGCTACATGAAGACTGGTCTCTGTCCTCAAGTTGCTTACAGTTTGCAGGTGCTACACCAATGGGTATCATTTGTATCTCACATAGGGTGAGTATTGATGGTTGCTCTGCCAAGCCTTTTAGTGACTCTTACCTTGCTCTTCACGCAAAGAATATATCATATACTGCTGTGCCACCCAGGGCCATTCTCTCACAAATTAGAGCTCCTTGATCCTGATCCTCAGAGTTGTAGAATGAATTCCACCCTAGGATCCAGAAAGGAGTTTTGGGGAGGGTTTTGGAAATGGTGCGAGAATAACCCGCAACCTAGGGAAGCAGGCTGCATCACAAAGCATGAATAACCAGGCCCCACAGTGGTTCGTGGAGCTCCAAGCAGAATCTATCTGCCCAGAGGCAGCATGTGGTTGGAGGGGAAAGAGCCTACCTGGTAGGAGATGACCTAGCTGTCAGTCATCCTTTTAAAGCTACAGGCCTTGGGGGAAATATTTTTCTTTTGGAACCTCAGTTTTATCATCTGAAAACCAAGAGGTCTGACCTCACACCCTCTGTAAAATTCTTCCTGAGTTGACTTTCTGATTAAACCATTTCCTCTTGCTATGTGCTATTGTCGTCCACAGCTGGATCTGTTTCACTGACATTTGGATTAAGCCCAGTGAGGCAGTAAATACACAGCGCAAAGTTCTTTATATGATAATAGGGTGGACCCTGGCTGGCTGAAGGCCCTGTGCACCCAGGCACAATGGCCCCAGAATTCTGCATCTGACTCAGTGCTCCCCACATTATGTGCAATAGACTTTGGTGAGGATCAAAGAGAGGCATTGAGGAACCATGTCCACCCTCACATATCCTTGATCTTGAATGTAACCTTCACACTGCTGGTTTGTTGATTGGCCTATTTTGGAAGACTTCTTAGCCAAGGTCCAGTTGCCAGAATGGCCAAGTCTTCATATCTGAATTAGCATTTGTATTCTCCCATAGGTCACATGCTACCTGATTTGAGAAATTAGGACACATTAAAGATTGTATTAATTCCCAGTCATTCCTTCAAAACAAAAAAAAATGACTGAACAAATAGTCATAAGTTTATTTAATTTCTATTTGCTCAGGCTAGACATCTTAGGACACCCTTAAGCCTCTTCTTACCTTGGGACTAATATGTAATCAGTAATGAAGCCTTTTGATGCTTCTCCATGCTGCTGTTCCTCTCTGGGTCTATCTCTACAACCCTAATTTAGGACCATCTCACAGTCTATCTTGACTACTACAATATTTTCCAGAGTGGCCACCATGCCTCATCTTTCAACATTTCCAAATCCCATTTGTCATATGTGTGTATCTACATTAGCTTGATACATCTTAAACCTTGGCCATGGTTTTCTCTTAGACAGAAACATCAGTGTTTTCTATTGATCCAGAAAGAAGTCCAAATTTCTCAGGTTCATATTTAGCGCCCTCCACCCTGCCTCTCCATCCTCTGTTTATCCTCATCCTGACATAGTCCAACACAAAACCTAGGTCCTGTCATCACTAAATTTTTAGCGAGTCTTCGAATAACTTCCATTTCCTTCCATTACATATCATGTACATTCCTTAAACCCTCCACCATGCTGTAAGCACTTTAGGGGTAATATTCAAGCTGACTTCCTCTGTCTCCTATAATAGCTAGCCAGGAGTGTGACACAGACTTCATTTTAGTTCTTATAGAACAAATCAGTGATTGTCCCCCACAAAGCCAAAGCCATTTCTACCTTCAAGTCTTTCTCGGACAATGCCCTCTTGGAGTGCTTCCTTCTGCTCACCTTACATTTTTTGATATTTTGGTGAGTTAAAGTTAATTTTCATCTAAAGTTTCCCTTTTCTTGGCATAAAGCTCCTGATAATCTGTTCTTATCATATTAGTTTTGGTGGCATTGGTAATTAAATTCCCCTTTTTATTCCTAATATTGTTTATTCATGTGTTCTGTACCTTTTATCTTGATCAATCTTGCTAGACGTTTGTTAATTTTATTACTTTTCACAAGGAGCCAACTTCTAGCTTTTGTTTTACCCTCTCTTTTGTATATTGCTTTTCTATTTTATTAATCTGCTTTTATCTTTATTGTATGTTTCTACTTGCTTTGGGTTTAATTTGCTGTTCTTTTTTTAACTTTCTAAGACAGCTGCTTAGTTCAATACTTCTCAGCTTTTTTTCTTTTTCCAACATAAGCATTTGAGATTCTGGTCTTGCTATCACGATCGTTTTAATTGCATTTCATAATGCAGGAAATTGCTACATAGCATTACCATTTAGTTTTAGATATTCTTGAATTCGTAATATGATTTTGTCTTTGATGTGTGAATGATTTAGGAGGGGGTGCTTGTATTTCCAAAAGTGAAGTTTTCCTAGTTATCTTTTAGCTACTATTTCTTACCTAATTGCTTTGTGAATTTAGCATGAAACCAAATCCTTTGAAATGTGTTGAGATTTTCTTTATGGTCCAATATATTGTTGATTTTGGTTGAAAAGATTTCATTGTCTTAATTGTTGGGTGGAATGTTCTAGAAATGTCCATTGTGTGAGGCAGCTAATAGTATCATTTCAGTTGATATTCTTAATGGTTTTATCCTCTGCCTAGGCTAATAGCTACCAAGATAGTTGTTAAACAAAATCTTTAACGTGGTAGTTTGTGTATTTTTCTGTATAGGTATAGAAATATTTGCTTTAAATATTTTCAGGATATATATTAGGTACATATGTATTAAGAGTGATTATGACTTTCTGATAAACTGAAACTGTTAACATTATATAGTGACCTTTTTTCTCTCTCTAGTTATATTTTTCCCTGAGTCAATTTTGTCTGATATTGATACAGTATTATTTTTTTAATATTTATCTGGTATATATATCTTTTCATTATTTTACTTTCAATCTTGTGGTATCCTATGTCTTAGATATGTAGGACATATCTAACACAAAACTGAATTTAAATAAATAACACAAAACTGAATTTATTTTTATCGTCTTCGATCTTTATCTTTTAACTGTAATATTTTATGTGTCAATATTTTTCATAATTACTGATATTCCTACACAATATATTGATTTCTATGTATATATTCATACTCAACATATTTATTTGTGTTTTTTATTTATAGCATATTTTTTTTTGAGACAGGGTCTTGCTCCCAAGATAAGCTGTGACACAGTCCTAAATTAGGGTGGTAGAGATAGGCACAGAGAGGAATGGTAACATGGAGAAGCATCAAAAGGCGTCATTACTGATTACATATTAGACCCAAGGTAAGGGGAGGCTTAAGGGTGTCCTAAGCAAATATTCACCTCGGCTGGAGTGCAGTGGTGTGATCACAGCTCACTGCAGCCTCGAACTCCCAGGCTCAAGCAATCCTCTCCCTTCAGCCTCCTAGGTAGCTGAGGCTACAGGTGCATGTCATCACACCTGGCTAATTTTTTAAAAATATATTTTTGTAGAGAAGAGGTGTCACTATATTGCCCAGGCTGGTCTGGAACCCCTGGGCTCAAGGGATCCTCCTGCCTTGGCCACCCAGAATGCTGGGATTACAGACATGAGCCACTGCACTTGGCCGTATAGCATCTAATTTTTCTATTTATTTTGTCTGTTCTATATTTTCCTCTTTCTTGCCTTACTCTTGAGTTATTTTATGTTTTATTATTACATTTCTCATCTTAGAAGCTTTACACTCTATTTTTCTTCTTTTAGTGAGTACCCTAGAAATTTTAACAAGCATATGTAACTTGAATTCTAGAGTTAATCAATATTTTGACCTTTAGCCTCAACAATGACTCTATAAGCCACTCTCTTTATCCCTCTTATCCCTCTCCTATTTTTTCACAGCTTTGAGATATAATTTGCATGCAATTTGCTCATGTAGAATGAACAATTCAATGATTTGTAGTATATTCAGAGTTGTGCAACCATTGCCACTATCTAATTTTATAATATTTTCTTTTTTTTTATTATACTTTAAGTTCTAGGGTACATGTGCACAACGTGCAGGTTTGTTACATATGTATACATGTCCCATGTTGGTGTGCTGCACCCATTAACTCGTCATTTACATTAGGTATATCTCCTAATGCTATCCCTCCCCACTCCCCGCCACCCCACGACAGGCCCCAGTGTGTGATGTTCTTCTTCCTGTGACCAAGTGTTCTCATTGTTCAATTCCCACCTATGAGTGAGAACATGCGGTGTTTGGTTTTTTGTCCTTGCAATAGTTTGCCGAGCATGATGGCTTCCAGCTTCATCCATGTCCCTACAAAGGACATGAACTCATCCTTTTTTATGGCTGCATAGTATTCCATGGTATATATGTGCCACATTTTCTTTATCCAGTCTATCATTGATGGACATTTGGGTTGGTTCCAAGTCTTTGCTATTGTGAATAGTGCTGCAATAAACATACCTGTGCACATTTTCATTACCCGCAAAAGACACCCATACCCAGTTGCAGTTACTCCCCATTTTCCCCCACCTCTAGCTCCTGTCAACCACTAATTTAGTTCCTGTGACTATGGATTTCCCTATTCTGGAAAATTCATGTAAATCTATTATACAATATGTGGTCTTTTATGACTGGTTTTTTTCACTTATCATAATGTTTTCAAGATTCATCTATGTTGTTGCATATATCATTACTCCATTTTTGTGGTCAAATAATATTCCATTGTATTGATAGGTGTTCTAAATATTTTTAAAACTAAAGTTGGCTTCAGTGATTATTTTAAACTTGAAGGCCCCTTCTTTATTTATTCCCTGATTTGAAATTATTTACTTTGTTGACTCTTCCTGCTAAGTCAAGTCATTAAATTTAGCTTTTTCAGTTCTTTGTAGGAGGCAGTTGAGTCAGGGAGCTACACTGGGGGACAAAGTAACCATCCAAAGGCCTTCTTTTCTGTCATTTGACTCTCCTGCCCATCCTTCTCCACAGATCAAACCGTCTTCACTAGGGAGCCAGCATATTGAGGCCTCCCTCTCCTCATATTCCTTTGGCACTATTTTTAAGCCCTAAGTACGTCCATCTTGACAGAGATGGCCTTGTATTCAGTTACCGCTGACCATGATGAGAAGCCCTGGGTAGACATGGATGATCCCTACTGTTTTTCTCCATCTTTAGAAAGGCAGTCGACTTAGGTATCTTTTGAAAGGCACTCGAACATATGGTAGGGAGAGGGTAGGTACTCAAGAAATAACTATTGAACAAATAAATGATCAGAGTCTTTGACTTCTATTTTCTTCCATGATGATTGAATTCTCTGAGCTAAATTTCATGTATCTGATTCCTGATGCCTGGATAAAGTGAGCTGAGATAAGGAGCTAATAATGCACCACTCTGGGCACCTTCTCTGGGCCTGGCTTTTTGATCTCAGTGGCGTGGAAGGGGGTCAAAGAGCAAGCTCTTATTATTTACAGCATCTACAGGGGTTGCAGGTGGATACAGAACAAATCATCTTCCCCAGCCTGTCGCCATTGATGCCTCAGACTTCCGAGGACTGGGAGGAATTTGTTGCAATTTTGATTTCTCTAGTTCAGAGGGGGCTTAGATATATGTCTATCTTAAGCTCCTTATTGTCTTTCTGCATATCGTGTGGCAAAAGCAAGGTCTCAATGGAGCATATTCAAAAGGGAGATCCAGAGAGGCATTTGGATCAGATCTGATTAAACCATAATCCCCTTATTATTACCACCTTGGAAAGAAAGCACTGCCTAGCACCAGTGGTGGGGCATATTTTAGAGTTGCTTATATGGCTTGTTCTGGTAGGCAGGACACAGTGACCCAGGAGGCCTTATACTGACCTCATAGGTGGGGAAGTTGTCTTTGAATTTGCATTTTTAAGCCAAGCTGGGAATGGAGAGCACTGAGGTTGAACAGATGGGGCTGTGGTGTCTTCACTTCGGGGTAATGAGAAATCAGCATTCCCAGACAGCAGAGGGCTCAGGAGAGACACGATCCAGCAACTTAGGACAGTTTAGAGAGGGATTAGAGAGGCAGTGAAGAATCATCACTGCAGAGCTTTCTGCTGCTTCATGAAACCAACACCCTGCCCTTATTCTTTCTTTCTGAAATAGAAGTTGGTTCATCAGGGATGTCTGATCTTAACACAGTTGAGAGAATGTATATCTCTTTTTTAAAAGAGCGAATAAGTGGAACAGAAATGAAAATATGGTGTTTCAGCCTAGCAATAACGGGGGAAGATTTCACATAAAACAAATCTAATTTATAGTTGGTGCTTGCGAAGGGTTGTGGAGCCTTACACATAATAGAGGCTTAATGGGTATTTGTTGAATTTAATGATTTGAATCATTTGCAGCAAAACAAATTCCACTTTGTCTGAATTGCTCAGATCAGTTTCCTCCTCGCTCCATTTAGTGCAGCAGGCAGGTGAGAGTTTCCATGTGCAGTAGAACCACAGGATGATGGAACCATTGCCCATCTACACACCATCCCCTCAGCCACAGAAGCATGTGACAGTTGTACTGAAACAGAAAGACCTTGGCCTGAGTCCTGGCATGAGTCCTGGCTTTCTAATTTACCCATTAGAAAAAATACAGGACTCGTTGATGAGAAATAACATTTATAGGAAACAACACAATGTCTGGCACAGGCTGGCCCTCAATAAACTTTTGTTACAAAAATAAATTGTGATTTCCCCACAAGGTAGTGTTTTATAAAACTTGGTGACTCCAGCCTGTAATCCCAGCACTTTGGGAGGCCGAGGCGGGTGGATCACCTGAGGTCAGGAGTTCAAGACCAGCCTGGCCAACACGGAGAAATCCCGTCTCTACTAAAAATACAAAAATTAGCTGGGCATGGTGGTGCGTGCCTGTAATCCCAGCTACTCGGGAGGCTGAGGCAGGAGAATCGCTTGAACCCAGGAGGCGGAGATTGCAATGAGCCGAGATCAAGCCACTGTACTCCAGCCTGGGCGACAGCAAGTCTCTGTCTCAAAAAAAAAAAAAAAAAAAAAAAAAAAAAGTGGTGACTCAGTCTCAGTACTTCCTACTAAAATATCCATGCATTCTGAGAAAAACATGGAAAAGCCTAATAGCCTAAAAGTGTGAATTAACCTGTGACTTGTGATGATGTCTGAGATGCCTTTGGATTAATTATGATAAGATCTGTAGTTGATTGGAAATCCTGAGCATGGGCTGGGGCTGATACCTTTATTTTTGGAAGGACAAGCGGCACACCCATAGCCCTGAAGCAAAGTTAGGAGAAGGCTACACTAAATGGAGAACTCACAGAAAAATCTGCTTTCAAAAGAAATTGAGAATGTTTTAGTCCACCCAATTACTACTTATTTTTCTTTATCTGCTCAGAGAATATAAACCCCAATTTAAATATGTGGGTTCTGGGCAGAAGCAGATCAAGTGAGGGGGCTTTTTTCAGTAGTGCAAGTAGAGGAAGGGGTTGTGACGAAAAGAAAGCACTCCAGGAACTGGAGTTTTCATCTGCAATTAAATGAAGATGCCTGGAAGTGGGCACTCAGGGATCCGGAGTCAGTCAACACTCTCCAGATGATGCTCATATGTAGCTAGGGTTGCAGTCCTCTAGAGAGATAATAATCAAAAGAGGTGTTTCTCAAAATATGTGTTAAAATACAGATAAAAGACCCTCCCTAAGACATACTAAATCAGAATTTGGGAAGGAAGGGCTGGGTCTTGGGATTCTGCCTTTTTTAACAAGCCCTTCAGCTGAGTTTTATGCTTACTTAAGTCTGAAAACTGATGACAGTGGATTGCAAACTTAGCTACATATTAGAATTGTTTGGGGAGCTTTAAAAAAAAAAACCTGATGCAGAGGCCCCAGGGTTCAACCAGTTTAAAAGCTCCCCAGCGAGTTCAGTGTACTGCAAGGATTAAGAACCACTGAACTAGAGGCTGTGTATATTAATAAACCAGTAAGCTTAAAATGTGGGAGAAGAATTCCTATGGCAACAATACAGACCGAGAATCCATTCCTTTTGCTTATTGGTTACACACATTTCCAATTCCGAGATTATTAAGCTAATGAGGGAGCAATGGGAAGTGCTGCAATGTGTGGCCAACCAGGCTTTACTAGCAGAGTCAAGGATTAAACACTAGATGCACTCCTTTTAAAACAGGAACGTGATAAGCATGTTCACAATCATTAAAATTTGTTCTGGAAGTTTTCACTAATGAAATAAGACAGGACAGAAAAATGCAAGAGGAACTTGCATTTTTATCCCTCTCATCCCTCTCCTATTTTTCATAGCTTTGAGATATAATTTGCATGCAATTTGCTCATGTAAAGTGAACAATTCAATTATTTGTAGTATATGCAGAATACTGAATATGTGTTAAACAGGTTAGCAAAATTATATTTATTGTTGATGTTAGGGTCTCTTGCCTAGGACACCTGACGTATAACTAATAAGGATGCTTAGCAAGTTGATAAGATAGAAAGCAAACATTTAAAAAGCACTCTCTTTCCCATAATTTAACATTAACCAATTAGAAAAATAATAGATGATGATGTTATTCACATGAGCAAGGAAAATAAATCTAATGTCTTTTTTTTTTCCTTTTTTTTTTTGTTTTTTTTGAGACAGGGTTTCACTCTGTCACCCACACTGTAGTGCAGTGGTGAGATCATGGCTCACAGCAGCCTCCACCTACCTGGTCTCAGGTGATCCTCTCACCCCAGCCTCCCAAGTACTTGGGACTACAGGTGTGTGCCACCACACTCGGCTAATTTTTGTATTTTTTAAAGTAGAGATGGGGTTTTGCCATGTTGTCCAGGCTGGTCTTGAACTCCTGGGCTCAAGCTATCCACCAGCCTCAGTCTCCCAAAGTGCTGGGAGTAGAGGCATGAGCACCATGCCCAGCCCAAAAAGAAATCTTAATTAAAAAGGTAAGATGTATAAGGAAACCACTTAGCATTAATGAGCAGTATAAAAGATGTCTTATATAAATGGAGAGATCCACCTTACGCATAGATAGGAAAGACTGATCTGTAACCATGTCAACTTTCTGCAAATTATAGTTTTAACACAATTTCAAATAAAGTCACAGTGTTTGCTTATTTAAAAATTGATATGATTATTCTAAAGTTCACCTAGGAGAATGAGTGAAGATTATTCAAGAAAATTGTGTAAAAGACATACATGTTACCTGCCCTACTGTTTATGACAATGTACAAAACTGAAAAATCCAGTGATATCTTTCAAGAGGAAAAAGTATTGTAAAAGACAGAATAGAAAAATGAATGAAATAAAAAGTGTTAAAACATCCCTAAATTACATATACATTCATGTGATTTGATAGTATTTCAGATCCTTGGAAAAATTAATTATTCAACAATTAGAACCAGAACAGTTGATTTACCTTTGAAGAGCATACTCAGGTTAGATTTCTACCTCGTGTAACAAAATTAATTCCAATTCAGTTAAATGCCCTTTTATAAATCAACATAAAAATGAGTACCTTAGTAGAAAATATATAAAGTTTATAAACCATTTTTAAACGAAGAAATGTAAGTGACCAACAAGAATGTGAATTTAAAATAACATATTTTTTTCATTTATTTACTTTGCAAAGAGAAAAGCTGCGAAGAGGTTGTGGTAAATTGGCCTCTCTTCTACTCTACTGTTGAGGGTGTAATTTCGCATAATCATTTTCGCAGGGTAATTTGGAAGCATGTATTAAGTCTTAAGAATATGTATTCTTAAAATGTCCAGAACTTTCAGCAAGTAATTCCATTTCCAGGAATTTTTCTTTAGGATATAATCAGAGATTTGTGTAATGACTATTGCATAAGGATTCCTAGTACTACATTATTTTTATAGTGAAAATTAGGAAAAAAACCATAAATGTTCATAGTAGGGAATTGCTTAAATTTTGGTTTAGTTCTGTAATGTAGTTCTGTAAAACCTTAACAAACTGTCTTTTCAGAGAAAAAATGACAAGGGAAAAGTGTGGGCTGTTAGTAAAAAAAAAAAAAAAAAACAGAGAAAAACTGCAAAAATTAATTTATATATTAGCTTTTGTGAAGAGGGAGTTTAAAACACCCCAGACTCTCTGGCGGAATCAAATCTGGGCATATTTTATTGAGTAATATATTAGGAAGTAAAATAACTTTGTGTAATTATAAGGTTTTGCTCAGATATGGGTGACTCTTCTCTTGCTTTTGTCTTGCCGGAATTAAAATGACACTTTGTATCTTTGACTATTTCTTCTTCTTCTCCTCCTAGAAGTGGGTATATGAGAAAGCAGGCATGGACAAGAGGGCAGAAGCTGTTGCCATTGGGGAAGTATTCTCTCCTGCGATCTTTTTCTCTTTGTCCTTCTCTCTGGTGCCTGGAGCCTGGCATGGACTCTCCTTCCTTATGTTAAAGTAGTAGGAGGCAAGATCCCAATCCAGGCTTAGGAGAAGCAGAGAAGGTAGGGCCTTTGGTTTCCCCAGCACAAGGAAAAACAGTCCTTCCTCTTGCTCATTAGAGCCACATGTTAGGGCTTGGGACCAAACATCAGGTATCAGTATGATCTAGCTGCACCTTACCCTCTGGATGTATTTATTTCACTCGGAGACCTTTCACATTGTAGTGTTCTAGGACAGGATTGGGTGGTTTAAGCCTTGATCTAATACTATCTTAATCTCATCAGAATTTCTCTCTGTCTCGTCTCTCTCTTGAGAAACTGATTTTACAAATAGAGAATGGCCAGACCGTATATAAAAATAGAACTCTGACTCGCAATCTGTAGCAATCAGTCCAGAAGGACAAACCACAACCTCTGTAGCAATCAGCCCCAAACAGTCAGGAGTTGAATCAATAACTGCCAGCTGCACTATCTTTTGCCCTGTTTCCAGTTTAGAACTAACCAGGGGAAGCTAAATACGCTCTCCTTTCCAATTACACAGGATGCCCTGATTCTAGTGAGCCTACCTCCAGCTTCCCTTATGCCAAAAACCTCCAATAGTGGCATATCTGAATCTTCCCTTTTTGTTCATTATAAAGCTTTTATACTCCACTGCCTACCTTTAGTGTCTCTGAACTGGAAGTAATGTCCTTGCTCTAGCAAGCTCTGAATGATCTTTGCTTGTTCTCATTTGAGTGGTCTTTGTTTCCAGACTTTATCTGTGTATTTTCCTATAGGTATATGACTATATATACAGAGAAATATATACCATAAAGGGAGAAATATCTAGTATCTGTAGAAATATACACAATAACCACAATAAATATATATTGCTATATTAGTTTCATATTGGAAAACTAAATGCACAGGGTGGTCACATTGGAACTCAAGGAAGGCCTGGCTTCCAGCACACTTTCAAGAAGTTCTAAAACTCCAAAAAAGAAGAAAAACTATAGGCTGGAATCAAGGAAGTCTCTGGGAGTGAGAAACTGGAGCAGAAGCCAGGTGGAGACAGGAAGTCAGAGGTCAGTGTGATTTATCTGTAGTGCAATACAATTATGTCAAAGACTAGTCTGGAAGTACTCTTGTGAGCAGAGAGGGAGAGAGACTGAAGGCAGGAATGCTAGCCAAGTCTCTTCAACAGTGTAGAAGAAATTCTGAGATCACCCAAGAAGAAGGGATAAAATACTACTTCTTCGAGCCATATTGTGATGGCTAATTTTATGGGTCAATGTGACTGGGCCACTGGATGTCCAGATGTTTGGTCAAACATTCTGAGTTTCTGTGAGGGTGTTAATGGATTAGATTAAGGTT
The DNA here is from genome assembly GCF_000001405.40 of Homo sapiens. Taxonomy (NCBI): domain Eukaryota; kingdom Metazoa; phylum Chordata; class Mammalia; order Primates; family Hominidae; genus Homo; species Homo sapiens. Next base: position 21,332,121 of record NC_000002.12, read on the forward strand.
AAAATCTTAACCTTAATCTAAAGCAGATTTTCCTCCACAATATGGTGGGCCTCATCCAATCAGTTGAAGGCTTGAATAAAGCAAAAGGCTGACCCTTTCTCAAATATGAAAGGATTAGCCCGTTTGAATGCCTTTTGAGTGAAACATCAGCTCTTCATCAGCTCTATCACAGCTACTGGCTGTTGGACTTAAACTATGACATTGGCCCTGTAGATCTTAGACTTGGCCTTCCTAATGACATGAACGAATTCCTTATAATAAATTTCTTTATATATAGGATATACATATAAAATATAGAAAATTTATATACAGGATATAAATATATATATGCGTGCACACGTGTGTGTCTATAGAGGATATATATACATAGGCTACAGATAGAATATATATAGATTGTGTTTCTCTGGAGAACCCTATAGTATACTATAGCATAGGAAATGTTTCCTGTTCTATAGGAACCATTTTTCAAGTTTGATTAGACTTAAAAGGCTAAGCTGGTATTTTGAATGAAGGAAATTGAAGCTTTTAAGCTACAGAATGAAATCATTAGTAGAAATGGAAAAACAAAGAAGGCCAGAAATGATATGGGGCAGGGGAAGTAGGGGATTGGCTAGTTCTCTTTGGAATATATTGAGTTTTAAATGACAGTAGGATATCCAAGAACAGCCGAGGAGCTGTATATGTTTTATAAAACATCCTCTGTAATGTTATTTGAAAGGAAAAAAAAGCAGTGAGATATAAAAGTTTAATGGATTATAGAGAGACTGATTTCTTGAAACAATTATCCCCAGCTCTGACACCACAGGTTATCACCAGTTTTCTTAAGGAATGTCACCAAATTTTAATCAAAATTAATTTTAGTTTATTTTGCTCACTAATCATGATCTGAAACAGCACACATCAGTGGGGATGAAGTGGAATGAAGTAGTCTCTCATATACCACTAATATTTTGCAACAACAGGCAAGTTGTAATTGTTATGCAAAACTGTCTAGATTGCCAGTTTACACTGAACTCAGCAGGTGACCCCTTCACTCTCCAATTCTCTTTGCATGTGCATAACCAGACTCAATGGTGTACAGAGGGACTGCTCAAAAATGTTGACTGTCAAATGCATAAACATGAACCAGGGTTAGAAAAACAGGATTAATGCAGCCTGCTTAATGAGTGTTCTCTGCAGAATGACTCTTCAGCAAGGAGGCAAATGTCCAATAGATTCAAGAATGTAACTGGAGCAGCAAAAACAGGTCCACTGGTGGCGTCACTCTCCGAGCTGTCTGATGCCCTGCTTTGCGCTTCAGTCCCTGCACACTGAATCGTTAACCTTTGGCACTGCGTAGGGTTCAGCATTTCAGAAGTGTCTTGATTATGAAAAATCTGCCAGCACTAATGGGGAACCTCTGACCCAGGTGCCAGCCCAGCCTTACAGCTCCACAGCTGCTGCAATTTTGATTGAAAAACAGGTCTCTGGTGTCAGGAACAAAGTAACTGGGAATTGGGCCACCTGTAATAGTTACACTTTTATGCAAACCATGAAGATTCGTCTTATTTTTTTTCTTTTCTTCTTTTGCTGTCAAAGGACTGATTTCCTACATTGTCTGAACACAACACATACAAATCACCATCTTCAACTGCCTTCTACTCATATATTTCAGTTAGGGACCTACTGCATGCCAGCTCACTGCTAGTTGCTGTTTTTTTTTGTTTTGTTTTGTTTTTTTTTTTATGAGAGAGTGTCATGGTTACACACACCCACGCCCACATACACATGGATGCACATTGGTGCCAGGTGCTGTAAGTCACGTTAATCCTGCCTGGTAGTCAGATAAGAGGGAAATCATTGTAGACTTGAGCAGCTGGGAAGGCTTCTTGGAAGAGGAGTAAGGGGCCTGGGCATGGAAGGATAAGTGGGATAGGCAGAGAAGAAGTGGAAAGGGCCTTTAAAGCTGAGAAAACAGTCTGGATTGGGGCTTTAAACCACTGGAGTTCTGCTTGGAGGTCATGTTTACATCACTAGTAATTAACGTATGACAGACCACAATGCTGATTAAATATTAGCTTACCTATTTGTTGAGCCTTGTATATTCAGGGGATAGTAGACAGCATGCTCTGGATTTTTCAGAAATCCTCCAAAATAAAATGAGCCCCCAAACCCCCAAACAACCTCTGTAAGAGCCCCACCAACGTGTTTCTGTAGCTGTGTTTTCCCAGTTTCCTTTCGTGAAAGGACGTGATCATTGTGTGGTAGAACCCCGAAAGGTAGGCTCGAGTACCTAATGTGCAGTATGCCAAATGCTGACACATCATGGCTTAGGAGTAGAGAAAGGTTTATTTGATTTTGCCAAAGTGTGAGGGCAGGAGAGAGAGGCAAACTCTCAAATCTAACCTGCCTTTGAATATAACTGGGGGCTTTTATGAGTAAGGAAGGTATGCAGGAGGTGAGATCCCCCAATGATGAAAGCTGCTTGTGTCCTTCTGTGATCAAACTTCTGGATGCCACCACGGAGGTCTGCATGACCTAAGGATCATTGTTCTTTAAAAGAAAAACAAGTTCATTCATCTTGCAGGCAGCCCCCATGGGTAAGGATATGAAGTTAATCAATTATGAGTGACTGCCCTCTACCAAAATGACTATGTGCAAGCAGTCATGCTTGGAGGAAGAAAAGGACAGAGAAAGGAAAATAAGTAAATCAAACACCTGATGATTTTTACCATATAGGCTTAGTTGCAATTATACTTCTGTTCCGAGTGAACATGGGATTGTTCTAAAGACATTAACAAAGGTCTTTCATCCTGCTCACTCAGTCAACACAATTTCGGAGAGCCTCTTCTATGCCAAGCACCATTCTAGGAAATGAGTATACCAGTGAAAGAAACAAAAATCCCTGTCCTTATATAGTTTATTTTGTAGTGTCTGTAGTGGGGAGAGATGGTCTTTTAATAAAATTAATAAGTAATTTATGTAATAGTTTAGGAGGTGATTAAGTGATACAGAAAAGGTAAACCATACATGGGTTAAGGAAACAGGTGTACTAAGGTGTAGAAATGCAACTATTTTTCCTGATGCATTTCATGTTTTCATCATATGGTTTTTATTGAGATATTCATGTGCCATAAAATTCGTTCTTTAAAGTATATAATTCATCACTATTTTTTTTTTTTTTTGAGACGGAGCCTCATTCTGTCACCCAGGCTAGAGTGCAGTGGCGCAGTCTTGGCTCACTGCAACCTCTGCCTCCCGGGTTCACACTATTCTCCTGCCTCAGCCTCCCGAGTAGCTGGGACTACAGGCACCCACCACCATGCCTAGCTAATTTTTTATATTTTCAGTAGAGACGGGGTTTCACCATGTTAGCCAGGATGATCTCGATCTCCTGACCTTGTGATCCGCCCGCCTCGGCCTCCCAAAGTGCTGGGATTACAGGCGTGAGCCACTGCGCCCGGCTAATTCATCACTATTATCTAGAACATTTCATTGTCTGCCAAAGAAACCCTGTACCTGTGAGCAGTCACTATTCATTTCCTGCTTCCCTCAGTTCTTGGAAACCAACAGTACACATTCTGTGTTTCTATGGATTTGCCTGTTCTGGGCATTTCAAAGTAATTGAATCATATAATATGTAGCCTATTGTATCTGGCTTCTTTCACGTATCTCAGGGGTGTTTAATCTTTTGTCTTTCCTGGGCAACATTGGAAGAAGAATTGTCTTGGGCCACACACAAAATACACTGACACTAATGATAGCTGATGAGCTAAAAAAATTGCAAATAATCTTATAATGTTACAAATGTGTGTTGGTCAGGCTCAAAGCTGTCCTGCGGGGTGGAGCCAAGATGGCCGAATAGGAACAGCTCCAGTCTACAGCTCCCAGCGTGAGCAATGCAGAAGACAGGTGATTTCTGCATTTCCAACTGAGGTACTGGGTTCATCTCACTGGGGAGTGCCAGACAGTGGGTGAAGGACAGTGGGTGCAGCGCACCGTGCACAACCCGAAGCAGGGCGAGGCATTGCCTCACCCAGGAAGTGCAAGGGGTCAGGGAATTTCCTTTCCTAGTCAAAGAAAGGGGTGACAGACAGCACCTGGAAAATCGGGTCACTCCCACCCTAATACTGTGCTTTTCCAACGGGCTTAACAAACGGCACACCCGGAGATTATATGCCGCACCTGGCTCAGAGGGTCTTATGCCCACGGAGCCTCGCTCATTGCTAGCACAGCAGACTGAGATCAAACTGCAAGGCGGCAGCCAGGCTGGGGGAGGGGCGCCTGCCATTGCCGAGGCTTGAGTAGGTAAACAAAGCCGCCTGGAAGCTCGAACTGGGTGGAGCCCACCACAGCTCAAGGAGGCCTGCCTGCCTCTGTGGGCTTCACCTCTGGGGGCAGGGCACAGACAAACAAAAGGCAGCAGTAACCTCTGCAGACTTAAATGTCCCTGTCTGACAGCTTTGAAGAGAGTAGTGGTTCTCCCAGCATGGAGTTTGAGATCTGAGAACGGGCAGACTGCCTCCTCAAGTGGGTCCCTGACCCCCGAGTAGCCTAACTGGGAGGCACCCCCCAGTAGGGGCGGACTGACACCTCACACGGCTGGGTACTCCTCTGAGACAAAACTTCCAGAGGAACGACCAGGCAGCAGCATTTGCGATTCTCCAATATCTGCTGTTCAGCAGCCACCACTGCTGATACCCAGGCAAACAGAGTCTGGAGTGGACCTCCAGTAAACTCCAACAGACCTGCAGCTGAGGGTCCTAACTGTTATGTTAGAAGGAAAACTAACAAAGAGAAAGGACATCCACACCAAAAACCCATCTGTATGTCACCTTCATCAAAGACCAAAGGTAGATAAAACCACAAAGATGGGGAAAAAACAGAGCAGAAAAACTGGAAACTCTAAAAATCAGAGCGCCTCTCCTCCTCCAAAGGAATGCAGCTCTTCACCAGCAATGGAACAAAGCTGGATGATGAGTTGAGAGAAGAAGGCTTCAGAAGATCAAACTACTCCGAGCTAAAGGAGGAAGTTTGAACCAATGGCAAAGAAGTTAAAAACCATGAAAAAAATTAGACAAATGGCTAACTAGATTAACCAATGCAGAGAAGTCCTTAAAGGACCTGATGGAGCTGAAAACCATGGCATGAGAACTACGTGACGAATGCACAAGCCTCAGTAGCCGATTCGTTCAACTGGAAGAAAGGGTATCAGTGATGGAAGACGAAATGAATGAAATGAAGTCAGAAGAGAAGTTTAGAGAAAAAAGAATAAAAAGAAATGAACAAAGCCTCCAACAGATATGGGACTATGTGAAAAGACCAAATCTATGTCTGATTGGTGGACCTGAAAGTGATGGGGAGAATGGAACCAAGTTGGAAAACACTCTTCAGGATATTATCCAGGAGAACTTCCCCAATCTAGCAAGGCAGGCCAACATTCAAATTCAAGAAATACAGAGAATGCCACAAAGATACTCCTCTAGAAGAGCAACTCCAAGACACATAATTGTCAGATTCACCAAAGTTGAACTGAAGGAAAAAATGTTAAGGGCAGCCAGAGAGAAAGGTCGGGTTACCCACAAAGGGAAGCCCATCAGACTAACAGCTGATCTCTTGGCAGAAACTCTATGAGCCAGAAGAGAGTGGGGGCCAATATTCAACATTCTTAAAGAAAAGAATTTTCAACCCAGAATTTCATATCCAGCCAAACTAAGCTTCATAAGTGAAGGAGAAATAAAATACTTTACAGAAAAGCAAATGCTGAGAGATTTCGTCACCTCCAAGCCTGCCCTAAAAGAGCTCCTGAAGGAAGCACTAAACATGGAAAGGAACAATTGGTACCAGCCACTGCAAAAACATGCCAAATTGTAAAACCATCAAGGCTAGGAAGAAACTACATCAACTAACGAGCAAAATAACCAGCTAACATCATAATGACAGGATCGAATTCACACATAACAATATTAACCTTAAATCTAAATGGGCTAAATGCTCCAATTAAAAGACACAGACTGGCAAGTTGGATAAAGATTTAAGACCCATCCGTGTGCTGTATTCAGGAAACCCATCTCACATGCAGAGACACACATAGGCTCAAAATAAAGGGATGGAGGAAGATCTACCAAGCAAATGGAAAACAAAAAAAGGCAGGGGTTGCAATCCTAGTCTCAGATAAAACAGACTTTAAACCAACAAAGATAAAAAGAGACAAAGAAAGCCATTACATAATGGTAAAGGGTCAATTCAACAAGAAGAGCTAACTATCCTAAATATATATACACCCAATACAGGAGCACCCAGATTCATAAAGCAAGTCCTTAGTGACTTACAAAGAGACTTAGATTACCACACAATAATAATGGGAGACTTTAACACCGCACTGTCAACATTAGACAGATCAACGAGACAGAAAGTTAACAAGGATATCCAGAAATTGAACTCAGCTCTGCACCAAGCGGGCCTAATAGACATCTACAGAACTCTCCACCCCAAATCAACAGAATATACATTCTTTTCAGCACCACACCACACCTATTCCAAAATTGACCACATAGTTGGAAGTAAAGCACTCCTCAACCAATGTAAAAGAACAGAAATTATAACAAACTGTCTCTCAGACCACAGTGCAATCAAACTAGAACTCAAGATTAAGAAACTCACTCAAGACCGCTCAACTACATGGAAATGGAACAACCTGCTCCTGAATGACTACTGGGTACATAACGAAATGAAGGCAGAAATAAAGATGTTCTTTGAAACCAACGAGAACAAAGACACAACATACCAGAATCTCTGGGACATATTCAAAGCAGTGTGTAGAGGGAAATTTATAGCACTAAATGCCCACAAGAGAAAGCAGGAAAGATCTAAAATTGACACCCTAACATCACAATTAAAAGAACTAGAGAAGCAAGAGCAAACACATTCAAAAGCTAGCAGAAGGCAAGAAATAACTAAGATCAGAGCAGAACTGAAGGAAACAGAAACACAAAGAACCCTTTGAAAAATTAATGAATCCAGGAGCTGGTTTTTTGAAAAGATCAACACAATTGATAGACTGCTAGCAAGATTAATAAAGAAGAAAAGAGAGAAGAAACTAATAGACACAATAAAAAATGACAAAGGGGATATCGCCACCGATCCCACAGAAATACAAACTACCATCAGAGAATACTACAAACACCTCTATGCAAATAAACTAGAAAATCTGGAAGAAATTGATAAATTCCTCAACACATACATCCTCCCAAGACTAAACCAGGAAGAAGCTGAATCTCTGAATAGACCAATAACAGGCTCTGAAATTGAGGCAATAATTAATAGCTTACCAACCAAAAAATTCCAGGACCAGATGGATTCACAGCCTAATTCTACCAGAGGTACAAGGAGGAGCTGGTACCATTCCTTCTGAAACTATTCCAATCAATAGAAAAAGAGAGAATCCTCCCTAACTCATTTTATGAGGCCAGCATCATCCTGATACCAAAGCCAGGCAGAGACACAACAAAAAAAGAGAATTTTAGACCAATATCCTTGATGAACATTGATGCAAAAATCCTCAATAAAATACCGGCAAACTGAATCCAGCAACACATCAGAAAGCTTATCCACCATGATCAAGTGGGCTTCATCCCTGGGATGCAAGGCTGGTTCAACATATGCAAATCAATAAACGTAATCCAGCATATAAACAGAACCAAAGACAAAAACCACATGATTATCTCAATAGATGCAGAAAAGGCCCTTGACAAAATTCAACAATGCTTCATACTAAAAACTCTCAATAAATTAGGTATTGATCTCAAAATAATAAGAGCTATCTATGACAAACCCACAGCCAATATCATACTCAATGGGCAAAAACTGGAAGCATTCCCTTTGAAAACTGGCACAAGACAGGGATGCCCTCTCTTACCACTCCTATTCAACATAGTGTTGGAAGTTCTGGCCAGGGCAATCAGGCAGGAGAAAGAAATAAAGGGCATTCAATTAGGAAAAGAGGAAGTCAATGTGCCTGTTTGCAGATGATATGATTGTATATCTAGAAAACCCCATCGTCTCAGCCCCAAATCTCCTTAAGCTGATAAGCAACTTCAGCAAAGTCTCAGGATACAAAATCAATGTGCAAAAATCACAAGCTTTCTTATACACTAGTAACAGACAAACAGAGAGCCAAATCATGAGTGAACTCCCATTCACAATTGCTTCAGAGAGAATAAAATACCTAGGAATCCAACTTCACAGAGGGATGTGAAGGACCTCTTCAAGGAGAACTACAAACCACTGCTCAATGAAATAAAAGAGGATACAAAGAAATGGAAGAACATTCCATGCTCATGGGTAGGAAGAATCAATATCGTGAAAATGGCCATACTGCCCAAGGTAATTTATAGATTCAATGCCATCCCCATCAAGCACCAATGACTTTCTTCACAGAATTGGAAAAAACTACTTTAAAGTTCATATGGAACCAAAAAAAAGCCCGCATTGCCAAGTCAATCCTAAGCCAAAAGAACAAAGCTGGAGGCATCATGCTACCTGACTTCAAACTATACTACAAGGCTACAGTAACCAAAGCAGCATGGTACTTGTACCAAAACAGAGATATAGACCAATGGAACAGAACGGAGCCCTCAGAAATAATGCCACATATCTACAACTATCTGATCTTTGACAAACCTGAGAAAAACAAGCAATGGGGAAAGGATTCCCTATTTAACAAATGGTGCTGGGAAAACTGGCTAGCCATATGTACAAAGCTGAAACTGGATCCCTTCCTTACACCTTATAGAAGAAGTAATTCAAGATGGATTAAAGACTTAAACGTTAGACCTAAAACCATAAAAACCCTAGAAGAAAACCTAGGCATTGCCATTCAGGACATAGGCATGGGCAAGGACTTCATGTCTAAAACACCAAAAGCAATGGCAACAAAAGCCAAAATTGACAAATGGGATCTAATTAAACTAAAGAGCCTCTGCACAGCAAAAGAAACTACCATCAGAGTGAACAGGCAACCTACAGAATGGAAGAAAATCTGTGCAACCTACTCATCTGACAAAGGGCTAATATCCAGAATCTACAATGAACTCAAGCAAATTTACAAGAAAAAAGCAACCCCATCAAAAAGTGGGTGAAGGATATGAACAGACACTTCTCAAAAGAAGACATTTATGCAGCCAACAGACACATGAAAAAATGCTCATCATCACTGGCCATCAGAGAAATGCAAATCAAAACCACAATGAGATACCATCTCACACCAGTTAGAATGGCGATCATTAAAAAGTCAAGAAACAACAGGTGCTGGAGAGGATGTGGAGAAATAGGAATGCTTTTACACTGTTGGTAGGACTGTAAACTAGTTCAACCATTGTGGAAGTCAGTGTGACGATTCCTCAGGGATCTAGAACTAGAAATACCATTTGACCCAGCCATCCCATTACTGGGTATATACCCAAAGGATTATAAATCATGCTGCTATAAAGACACATGCACATGTATGTTTATTGCGGCACTATTCACAATAGCAAAGACTTGGAACCAACCCAAATGTCCAACAATGATAGACTGGATTAAGAAAATGTGGCACATATACACCATGGAATACTATGCAGCCATAAAAAAGGATGAGTTCATGTCCTTTGTAGGGACATGGATGAAGCTGGAAACCATCATTCTCAGCAAACTATTGCAAGGACAAAAAACCAAACACCACATGTTCTCACTCACAGGTGGGAATTGAACAATGAGAACACATGGACACAGGAAGGGGAACCTCACACACTGGGGACTGTTTTGGGGTGGGGGAGGGGGGAGGGATAGCATTAGGAGATATACGTAATGCCAAATGATGAGTTAATGGGTGCAGCACACCAAAATGGCACATGTATACATATGTAACAAACCTGCATGTTGTGCACATGTACCCTAAAACTTAAAGTATAATGATAATAAAATAAAATAAAATAAGCTGTCCTGTGGTGCATGTAGCCTGCAGCCTGCAGGTTGGGCAAGCTTGACTTATCATAATATTTTCATGGCTAATCCCTGTTGTAACTTTTAATGGCTGTATAATAATCTACTCTATTGATGTGTCACATATTGTTTATCTTTTCATTAATTGATGGACATTTGGATTGTTACTACCTTTAGGCTATGAGGAATAAAGTTTCTAAAGATTTCATGTGCAAGTTTTTATATGGCCACATATTTTTAATTTTCTTGAGTATATACCAAGGAGTGAAATTCCTGGGTCAAATGATGACTCTGTTTTAACATTTTTGTGGAACTGTCAAACTGTTTTCCAAAACAATTGCATGGTTTTGCATTCTCAGCTGCAATGTATGAAGGTTCAAGTTCTCCATATTGTCATCGATACCTATTATTGTTTATCTTTTTTATTATAGTCACCTAATGATATGGGACGTATCTCATTGTGGTTATGATTTGCATTTCTCTAAGAACTAATAATATTAAACATTTTTCATGTGCTATTGTAATTAAAATTTTTTTTATTTCATTTTTGGGTCATGCATTGCTAGTGTATAAAAATAAAACTCAACTCTTTTTTAGCACTGAAAGATTTTTTTGTGGATTACTTAGAATTTTCTATATGTAAAATCATGTCATCTGCAAATAGAAATAATTTCCCTTTTTCTTTTCCAACCTGGGTGCCTTTTATTTATTTTTCTTGCCTTATTTCCTTAGCTAGAACCTCCTATATGACATTGAATAGTGATGGTGATATTGAACATTCTTACTTCTACTCTCTGAAGGATAGCAAGGGAATGAAATTTTAAATTAAGTAGTCAATGTGGTCTTCAATAAAAAGTAGCATTTGAAAACAATTGGAGGAAATTGAGAAGTACATATGTAGCTATCTGGGTGGGGGGGAAATCTTCCAAAAGAAATATGTAGATTTAGGAGTTACTGATATAAAAATTCTGTTTAAAGCCAGAAGACCAATGAGTTCACCAAGGGAATGAATGTGAAGAGAAAGAGAAAAGCCAAAGAATGAGCCCTGGGACACAGGGGGTTAAGAAGCCAAGGGAAAGATAAAGGAACCAGCAAGGGAGACTAATAGTGAAAAACCAGGTTAGTAGGAGAGGAGAGTACATGGTGTGCTGAAAGAGAAGTGGAGGAGAGAGTGTCAGTTCTGTTAATACTTTACATCTTTTGAAGAACTGTGTTGGCTTCTTCAGCTTCTGAGAGATAGATAACATCTTGGTGCGATAGATAACATCTTGGTGCCCTTACCTGTCAAATGAGAGTCTCCTGACCTCGGGTTCTGGGACTTGGCTTTCCACAGCTATGGAATAATGATGGACAGGCTCTGGCAGGTGGGGAGTGGGTGGAGGGGCAGAACTGACAGAGCTTTCATACAGCTCCTCTCCTTGTGGTTGTGTTTGCTTAGAGGTTTGCGCTTGTCTCCACAGTTGTTTTGAGCTGCTAATCAAGTGTGCCAGATTTTCAGCTTCTGGTTTGCAAACTCCAATTCTGTCAGTTTTATCCCATTGGAGCAAGAGTTAATTAAAGCAAGATTAAAATGTTAATAATTTTGGGGGCAATATGGCAAAAGCTTGGAATCTCTGGAGGTTGAATAAGAAAGTTTTTCATGGAAACTGAAAGCATAAGGCAGTGAAAAAAATCCATCTAAATTGTCAAGCAAGTCTAATTTCAGTATTGAATATTTGCTTTTGAGAACAATTATGATTTTTATCATTTGAAAAGAAGTTTATGATGTTCCATTGCTCAGTGAGTATGCAGGCTATTAAAGTCACAAACGTGGGACCAAATACAGTCCAGGGATTTGGGGGATAATGTAAATTGCATCTCTTGGAGTTGTTTTCACAGCTTATACTCTTGCCAGCTGCATTATCCATATCTCTAGTCATGACAATAGGAACCATTCCTGGCCTATTGCAGAAACCCAAAGACTATTTATGAAACAGGAAAATGAAAAGACCAGCCATCTTGAGTTCATCGTTCTTCTTTGACTTCCTGCTCAACATTGCTTTAGTCTTGGAGTGCCAAGATTTTCCTTTTCAGATACATAAGAAATGGATCTTCTGCCTTTCCTAGAAGAGCTTCTCATCATGCTTCAGAGGCCAGCCTTAGCTGTCGATCTTGTTTTGCGGTCTTCTCCTGTGCATGGCTCTGAAGGGGGCTCGGGCTTCCATTCAGCCCTTGCTACGCACAATCAAGATTTCATTTCTGGGGTCAACTTCTCAACAGTGCCAGTGCCCTTGATGTCTACTCCCTATTGGCTGTGTCCCACACAGGACCAAGCTCACATGACATTGTTCACAATATGTGACTGCTCTCTGGGGCTTTGTGGCCCAGAACATACTGTTTAAAGTAATGTGTGTGAAAGGAATGGTCTAGAACAGTCTATTTTGTGTTAAATAAACCAAATACATGCTCCACAGTGGCAGCAGATGTGTGGAGGTTTTAAACCACTGCTCCTTTACTGAGCTGCCATTCTGCGTTGGAATTGATGCTTTGAACTATGGTTGCTGCAGTCTAGTTTCCTGTATGCGTTCCTCACTGTGTGATGCTCACTTCTGATTTGTAGCTGCAGTTCTTCTTCCTGGTAAATATGTGGTCCCATGCTTTGAGGGCTCTGAGCAACCTCAGGGAAGGAATCAGTCAGCTACAGAGAAGGTGGCAACTCCACCAGCTGAGCCTAAAAAAAATGGATTAAATGAGTGAATACATGTATAATACTTTAGCATAAGTCTCAGGTTATCACTATTAGGATTATCTGAGGATTTTTTACAAATGGTCCTTCCCTGATCTCCAGGCTGGATAGCTTCCATTTGATCCTCAAGTTGCATTTTTTGGCAGCCCTCCTCCATATCCATGCTGTGTGCTCCTGGAGGCCAGCTTGTATGGACTGACTCCATCCTGCCCCCCTTCACCCCCTCATTCCCATTCCTTCTTTCTCTGGCTTTGGGTTGGGTTCAGCCAGTGAGGACCCTGGAAGGAATTCTGCAGGAGGAGGAAGGAGAGTGCATGCTATGGGCATTATTTCCTTTCTGCCTTGTAGGGTCACCTGAGGTTCGTTGGTCTTAGGCAGGAAGGTCACAGCTCCTGTTAGCTCTTCCACACTGCTTCTCTTTCTCCAGGTTCCTATACCTGTCCTCTCCCCTGGACACTTCAGGCCTGGATGTGGGAAGACTCACTCTCAGTCCCAGGCTACTGCAATGTCCTTTGCATCTTCTCTACATTCTGCCTGCTCTCTTACAGAGAATCTTTCGTTAATCCTTCCTTCAATTACTCGATTTGAGTGTTCCATCTGTTGCTGGGTAAGACTGAATAATCCACATTCCTATTGCTTTTCACCACTACCAAGGCAAAACAGGGAAGCCTGCACCCCTTGCCTCTTCTGCTGTTTCTGGCTATACTTCATTGGCCTCTTTTATCCTGCAAGACTTCATTATCCCAAAACCATTTGATAGGGCAATTTGTGTGCTCATCTCTGTGTTGAATGTGTTACCCAGCCATTTTTTAAATGAAAGTCCGGTCCAAAAGCAAAGACAGATCTCAGCAAGATTCATCAAGCAGTTTGCAGTCACCCTCTTGAGCTGTCACTACCAGGCCTCCCTGAGCTCTGCTTCTGCCTGACAGTCACCTTTCTCTGAGCATGCCATACATAGCAAGTCTTATGCTGATAGGATCTGGCCCTGAAGTTGGAGTTCAAGTTGATGCTGGAAAACATTTAGAGAACTAGATGAGAAAAGTTTTAGAGTCCTAGACAACTCTGAGGATCTCCAGAAATTTGAGAAGAGGACTTTTTTAGTTAGAAGAACTCCGTTTATATCCACAGCATAGAGAGAAGAAGTTTGTATGTAATTGTCGTGTGTTTACCTCCCTTCACCCCACTTCTTCTCTAGACTTTCTAATACCTGACATAGTTCTAGATACACAGAATGGGCCTGGAATCCATCAGCTTTCACCTTCTTTGTTAGCTAATGCATTTTTTTTTTTTTTTTTTTTTTTTGCCATATAGTGAGAGTTGAGCAGTCAAAATGGTCACTAGCTCTAGCTCACAATATCATATTCCCAGGGAGTTTCTTGGGCCAGTCGGAGAACAGAGGCCATTAAAAAGATGTGATACTAAGACATGGTGGAGCACTCACTGAAAAAGTTGAGAGGTCAAGTAAGGTAATCTAATGAGCCCTCTCAAGACCACACATGTCTTGAGAAGGCCTGAGAAGATGCTCCAGAGATCTTAGAGTTGGTTCAGAATCATCACTCTATAATATGAAACAAGCCCTCTTGATTATATTCAATAGGAATTTGAATGCATATTGTTTTCCATATCTGAATAGGCCTAGTTCTCTGTCTGCCATGACAGACAATGTACTTCCTGTGCAAATAATGGCCTGTGATGAAAAGTGTTTGTCAAAAAGAAAGTTAAGACTCAGGAAAATTAAAAATAATCTTTCCAGTGCAGTTTTTTCTCTGAGAGAGAATTGAGACCTACCTTCCTTATTTGAGATCTGGTGAGAGGTCTAGTCTTCTCAGGGGGATAAAAACTAATCTTGTAGGAATATACAAATGCAAATCATTTCATCAAAGACTGTAGCCACTATGTAATAAATGGATCTTTATTTTACACGTATTAATGCTGATATGATATTGAAGCCATGGCAATGTGTTATGCTAGTGAGGGAAAGGGTTAGAAGAGCTGATGTATTCATACGTGGATTTCTCAGACTGACTGAAACTTTTAGGCTCCTTTCTCTGATATGATTAATTCTAGAATTTTTAGTTTTTGAATGTGGTAATGCAGACATCAACAGGATCTAGGTGTGAGTGCCTCAGACTGTTCAGATTGGGCAGGAGTCTATTTCCTGTTTTGATTCCAGGTCCTTTTAATGACAAAGCCCAATATTTTATTAACTATTTTCCCTAGAGCTGTCTGTAAAGGTAAAGGATTTAGGAAATGTTCTATGGAAGTTCCGTAATTCTTGTTTTAAGACACAGCTGATGTTTCAGAGTTCATCACTCTTTAAAAATTGAAGAATTTCTCCAGTTGCATGATGCAATACTTTTCACACTGAATTTATCTTTCCACTCTTTGTCTAATCCTGAAGCCTCCAAATGTTTTCTACTTTCTATCAATTTGGTTTTAAAAGCAAAAGACTTATAGTCAATTGAGACACGAGGCTCTCACTGAATTTCTTTTCATTACCATTCATGGGATGTTAAATGGGATTTGTGCTTAGTACAATCTTTTGGCTATGTTACTCTTTACACCTGTGTACAGAGAGAATTGCCCATCTATCCCTACTCCATGTTTCAGTCTTAAAAACCAGTCCTTGATCCTTGGCAAACAATTCTTTCAAATCCAAGGTTAATCCATTTTCAGTGGCCTTAGATGTGAACACTGCTAAGTGGCTTAAAAAGTGTATTTCCACTCATTTAGTCTTAGGCACCTCAGGTCAGGGTAATTTGCCTTGGAGTACTGGTTTCCAATGAGGGTGCTGGGGACCCCAGAAGGACATGGAGCCTTTCGCAAGGGGCGCAAATCCATATACTCTTCTGGCACATATTATTTTTTTCTGGTTTTGTAGCATACACACATTGTTACTGATCTGCTGATGTGCCTCAGTGATGGGAAGCAGCATCAGGCAGAAAAAAAATCTTGCACATTTATGTACTAATCTTTGAAATGCATACATTTGTCGATAAATTCGTGATTTATAAAATACAGATTATCTTAAAAGAATTGCACAATTCATAGAATCTTTTAAGTAGAATGTATAAATCAATACATATTAAAATTTAGAGAAAAATAATTTCTTGACATTTTAAAGGAGACTTACTCCCCACAAAAGTGGGTATCTCTGCCTTGGAAGAAGGTAACAGATACTGGGTCAGCTGGAGGACCCTATATTGATGCTAGGAGGAAGACAACATTCCACTCTGCAGCTTCTCAGAATTTTCCTACAATAGGTGCAGGTCACAAGGATACTGCTGGTCAATTCAGCAATACCCTTAAACCAAGGATATTAATTTACTCCACCCTTTTATTATTTACTTCTTTCCAAAATCTGGATGAGTAACTTCTGTGGGTCAAGTTAGTTATTGGCTGAGTTATCGGCATTTATTTAATAACCAGCCCATCTGTTAGTACCTTTCCCTTGTTCATAGCCATTCAAATTGCTCCTGACTACAAGCAATAAAATAAGATTAATGCTTTTGAAAATATACCTTGATTACAGACTGCAGCCACTTTATCATATCCACAAGTGTTAACTGTTCTCACTGTGGGGGTCCAAGTTGGCAATATATGTCACAGTACACGATGAGCGGTAAAGTACTAACCAACTGCAATTCTTTTTATTGATATGGAAGTATAACACTTGCTCCCTAATCTGAAAACATAACATCAGACTGATGAGGTACACAGAATATAGAACATAAAGATGTTAACATTGGTGGCACCATAGAATAGGAGGTGGAGGCCGTTGCAGGTTGAGTTTGTTGGGAAAGGTTTTAGGTAAGAAATGGAACAATAGGTAGGATTTAAAAGATGAGGAAGGAAGGTCGTGGGAGTGCCTTCTATGCTTGGCAGTGCACTCAGAATTTAACATACACTGTGGCACTTAATCTTCATATTAGCTCTATAAGGCAGGAAAATTGTTATCCCCCATTGTACTGATAAGAACACTGCGTGTTGGAAATTAAGCGGCATTGATTCCAAGTTTACACAGATTAAAACAACTGCAGAGCCAGGGTTTGAATCTAGATCTGTTTCCCAAATACATTAAGAAAATAGAATTTAAATATCCATCAGAAAGATAGAATTTAAATAGTTTTTTTCTTTATCCAATTACACATTTTTATTTATAAGTTATATAAAAAGATAGCCAGCCAGTATGATGTATATGCAAATATAGCTCCATGCGGTCATCATGACATGGAATTCTGAAGAAAGCTTTTGTATCATTCGAGGTTCAACCAGAAAAGCAGAGCCAGCAGAACCAGGAGACCAATCGATTTATCATCTATCTTTCTATCTATTTATCTATCATTCATCAATTATCAATGTACGGATTTATTATAAAGAATTGGCTTTTTTAATTGTGGGGGCTGGTTAAATAGTCCTTGTTAGACTGTCTCCACCTCTCATGCTGGATCTTGAAGTCCAAGGCAGACAGTCAGGAAAGGAAGATCACAAGCAGGCCGGAATACCACGAGCACAGGTGAAACTCTACAAACATAAGCTAGATCCCCACAATGATGCACTGAAATCTGTGTCTGTTCTTGTTGCCTCTGCCTTTTGTGAGGAGGTAACTTGTACAAGCTGGGGACCTTTGTAATAGACTTAAAACAGATATATCTGGGCCTGATGCTGCTTCACATCACTGAGGCACATCAGCATGTCAGTAACCATGTGTGTATGCTACAAAACGGCTGCTGTTTTCCCTCTACCCTCTGTCCAAAATTTCCTGAGAATCTCCCTTGTGCCTATTCTATCCAGACATGTACAATAAAGGGAACTCTGGGAAGTGTAGTTCAGCCTACCCAAGTAGATACATCACAAAGCCATTTTGCCTTCTTTTTTTTCTAAGCAGCAGAGTTCTTATTCTGATAACATTCACTGACTCTGCTGTAGGACTAGATATACCAGCACAAAAGTAGGCTGGTTTGTGAGAGATCATTCAGTCAAGGCATTGTACATAATTAATCTTAGTAGTTTGAGGGCAGAAAGAGTCAGTCATCATTTGCACAAATGAAGACCTTGTAATCTATGGAGGGGCCATTTCAATTGCTATTCTAATCACAGTAAGAATAAAGCAGAAGCCTGTAATCCCAGCACTTTGGGAGGCCGAGGCGGGCGGATCACGAGGTCAGGAGATCGAGACCATCCTGGCTAACACGGTGAAACCCCGTCTCTACTAAAAATACAAAAAATTAGCCGGGCGTGGTAGCGGGCGCCTGTAGTCCCAGCTACTCGGGAGGCTGAGGCAGGAGAATGGCGTGAACCCGGGAGGCGGAGCTTGCAGTGAGCCGAGATCGCGCCACGGCACTCCAGCCTGGGCGACAGAGCGAGACTCCGTCTCAAAAAAAAAAAAAAAAAAAAAAAAAAAAAAAGAATAAAGCAGAAATTATGTGACTTGTGCCATTTGATTTGGCTAACAGGTTAAGTTCCCCAAATCAGGGCACATAACCACTTAATTTTTTCCATAGAAAAGTGAATGGACATTTTTGATGACTTGGATACCTGCTTTTGAATCAAAACACATAGATTTTAAGTATTTGTCTCAAATATTCTTTCCTCAGAAGTCATTGACCATGCCTTTTCTTGAAGCCTAGTTATACAGAACTAAAGAATTTTCATAGGCATAAACAAGGAAGAATTTAAATTAATGTGTAAAATTGGGTATCTTAACTTAGGTACTCCACTGCAGTATGTAAATATCAAGGTAGCAAATATATAACTGGATAGTGTTAGGTATGAGACTGCAAAGCAAAATGATGTATGTGCTACTAGAATTCTTCAGAATGATGTGTAATCCAGTTTCAGATATAGGCTAAACAAATTCATGCATTTTTGAGTATTTCATAATACATTTTCTAACAAAAAATAAACCATTCATTTGATCCATCTGCAATTATTTTGGAGCACTATATGCACAGGAGACACTACTGCTGGAGCTGAAATGATGGTGATGAGAAAGATGTGTGGTATCTGTTGACAGGTAACTCAGTCTAATTGGGACAAATAAAACACAATACAAGACAAAAATAAGTTCCATTATTAGGAGTACCAGAAAGTGCTTTTGGGTACCACGAATGGGCAGATTCCTTCCAAATGAGAGAGCATCTATCTGAGTTGGACCTTGAAAGTCGGGTGGGTGAGGTTTTTTTCAGATGGAGTTGTGGGGAGGCACTCTATGCATTGTTTAATTTGACTTTGTCTGGTTTAAAAGGCCAGGTGAAGATAGAAGATATGAAATTTTAAAAGGGTACTTAACTCTTGATTTTTCAATTTATCCTTTCATTGCAATGATTGGGACTTAAAGTGTTTACAATTAAAGTTAATGAACGTTTTATTGCTCATGACAGTTCACAGCAAATTAGACTCTTGCTTTCTTCTCAAAATGGGAGAAGGCCCCAGGCAACCTCTCCCTGAAGCCAGAGCTGTGCAGTGCTAGGCTCTGCAGGACACTTTGTTGGGGGTGAAATTTCAAGCAGGGATACTGCAGGGAGGGATCTGCTACAAAATGCACAAAGATTACTTGGAAGCTGAATGCTGAAAACAACCTGGTGGAGCTAAGGGAACCGGAGACGTGTCGCTTCTGCCCTGGGGCACCTTGCAGATTCTGTGGATGTTGGCTTCACCCTATGATTTGGCACTGGAGGAGAGGTTGAACCCTAGAGTACCTGCCCTGACCTGACACTCCCTCCTCCTGGCCTCTGTCCCATCTCTGAGGATAAACTCTGCCCTTTAAAATTTTTTTTGTGGTTGGTAAAGATATGCAGTGTGTTTTTATTGACTTTTTAAGGGGACTTTCAACAATATTCTATTGTATATATCCTGGGGTGATGTAATACAGAGTAGGGTTGGGGCCCCTCCCTCTTTTTCTGGAGCAGTGTGGTAGTCCTAGCCCGGGGGCCTGTAGCTCTGTGTCACAGTCCCAGTAGGGCTGTGTTTTCTGGGCTCCCCAATCTGGCTTCAGTAGCCCCTTTTCTAAGATAGGACAGCTGCACCAGAACAAACAGTACTTCATGGAGGTGTCTCCTGGGTTCTGCAAACTCCCATCCCCAGCCCCCAACAGGAACAGCTTAGCTGTTTACATTTCCATATTAATTTTCATTTTTAAAATGATTTCCATGACTAAAACTGTTTTAAAACACCCGATTGAATGCTCTCAAAGGGTCCTATGACTCTCAAATTCGATGCTTACATTAATCACAAATCAACTATAGTGACTCCTAAAACCACATCTGCCCCATCGGACCATCTGCTGGACCTTCTCAACAGAATATTAACAGGACCATTTCTCTCCACACATGGCTCTACTTGTCCTCCACAAATAGATGCTGACATCTTTTCTGGCTGCCCGTCCTGTGTTTGTTCAGAATGAGGGCTGCATAGTAAGAACGGGTTGGGAAAGGAGTTCCCGCCCATGAAGAATGCACATAGGAGGCTTCAGCAGTGGTATTGAGGGAAGTGTATGTGGTGCTGGGCTCAATGTAACCACACCGAGCTAGTCGCTGTCTGTGCCCAGACCTACCTCTGGGTGCTCACTTCTGCTTCAGTCCCACATTCACAGCTTCCTGATCCAGATGCCTACTTGCACAGCTGTCCCACACTTGCCAATCTCTATAGCACATCTCACTGCAAAAAAAAAAAAAAAAAAAGTATTTCTTACTTTAAAGCTGGTTCTTCTTCTTGACTTCCTGGTCAGGTTAAAGGTCTCAGAGCCAGCTGTAACATCTCCCGTCTTCACCTCATGTACCTGTTTATCCAGTCCCTGGATCCCTTTTCGTGTCTTCTGGTTCACACCTCTCTTTTGCCTTTACCACTCCTCTTGTTGAGTTTCTAATCATTGCCCCACTACCATGAACATAGAACAGATATTCCTGACTCTATCATCCCGCCACTCCAATCCTTCAAGGAGGGGGCTTGAGACCAATGTTTCTGAAGAATCATGTAGAGTGTCAATATCTCCAGTCAAATTCATGTGGTTCTGCATTCAATTCACAGTCTTCACATTCAGAACCTCACTCCATCCTCCTCTGACCCCAATGGGGCTTCATCTGATCTTTATGAATAAGAATTATCTTACCATCAACTTACTGAAATACTTCCTCTCCCCTAAATCAGGGTTATTTCTGCCACCGTACTGTTCAAGTTGTTGTCTCTCTGGAACCTATCCCAGCTCATCCTCAAGGACCCATGCAAGCCTTGCCTTCTGTGTGAAACCTTCCTCAACAATCCCTAGTGAATTAGACTTCTCCCTACATCTCAGCCCCATCAGGCTCTTCCATTTGTCAGTGCACAGAATACTGTCAGGTTCTGCTTCTTAGTGTTTTGGGGTTTGTGTGTGTGTGTGTGTGTGTGTGTGTGGTTATCTTAACACAGCATTCCCAATCACAATGTGAATGGAGGAGAGGAACCTGGGAAAGGTTCTCTGGGACCCATTTCATGAGTTATCTGCCAAGTGCCCACTTGACCCCTAGAAATCTGAAAGTTAGAATAATTAGAAAATTAAATTAGAATAATTTATTATTTTATTAATATACTAATATATAATAAAAGTTGTAGAAATGTTGAACAGTGTCAGAACCCATGCAGCAACTGTGCTATATTTAAACTTTTACATTAATTGACCATGATAAATAGCTCCAACTGTGTTGGTTTTTTCTTTAGTAAGTACATTTTCTGAGAAAGTTGAGATCTGTAGCTGAATGACCCATTCTGGCATCATCCTAAAACTTATCATTTTGAGTTTCTTTTTAATTGGAGTAGGAAGTTATGGATGTAATATTTTTTAATGTTTTTTTATAAAATTCACACTTTGCTACTGTAATTTATATTTTCCTTGGTAACTGGTAAAAACATTTTAAGGGTCAGCCTAGAAGTAGCAGAATCAGTGGAAACACTTTTTCTAAACCTTTCTTCCTTGTGTCATTAATCACAAGAAACACACCTAGTAACCCAGACTGTCAGATTCACTCACAAAAGTTGCAATTTATCTCCAAACCATTCTTGCCCCCTGAACCTTGTAGCTGATTGGGTAATGAGTAATTACACACCTTCAGTTATTACTCTGACTTAGGATTTTTCAGCATCTATTTTCTGTCAGTAAATGGAGCTAAACTGCATGTATTTTGGCTTGAGTACACAATGAATCAGAATTAATGAAATGTCATATCCATTAAAGCAAGCTCAGAAAATTGCATGCAAATATGGATAAGAGGGCTCTTAGTTCTAACTTTGCAGCCACGAGCAAAACCAGAGTGGTCATTTCTCATTGATCTTTCTACACAATCTTCCCTCTCTGTGGTCATCCCCTAAGACTTGGCCTGTTCTGAGGCAGTGGAAAAGTACCAAGGCCTCCATGAAAAATACTCTGAAGAGAATTTCTAACTGCTGAGGACAGCTGTAGTCTTGACTGTGGAGTCCTGATAAGTAAGCAACAATGAGGAAGGGGCCCAGGTGGGGGAGGGCCCCAGGTGGGGGAGAACAATGAAGTTATTGTAAGAAACAGCTAATCACAAACAACCCACAGGCACAAGACCTAAGTCCACAAGTAGCCCCAGCTGCATGGCCTTGTTCTGTATGTTCTGGTCATCCCCCCAGCAAGCATGACCCTATAAAACTTCCCTCCAGCCCCTGCCTCTTTGGAGACTCTTCTCTGCTGTGCTGCCCATTGCAATCTTGTAACATATTTTCATACTTTCTCTAATAAAGCTGCCTTTCTTTACCTACACTCGTCTTGGTAAATTCCTTTACCACCCATGACACCAGCCCCAGCTGGTCATACCCAAGACATTGACGTACATCCTTCTTTTACTCAACCTCTGGGAAGCTCTCCTCTCTGTGGGGTGCTGTGTTCTGACATTGGCTCTGTTATTGCCTGCCATTGTGATGCTGAAGCTGAAGAAGGGATAACAAGCACAGGACTGCAGGCTGGCAGCAGGATTTGCTAGGTTATGTTTGAAGGGTCCATGTGATCTGTTTCCAATGCTTAACTCATTTGCCATGTCAACTTGTATGGCAAAATGTTTACTCTGCCATGTATTCTAGTGCATTGGTCTAAACATGGAACCAGTTTTCAATATAAACTGATGTTGGAGAGATGTCTCAGCAAAAGATAGAGAAGAGCAATGTGTTGTTCCCCTCAGCCCCTTCTGCTTTTCCAGTGCCTTATAGGTGATAATCAATGTGACAATGCCAATAGCTTGCTCAAACTGTTCCTGCTGCCTGCAGTTGGCTTCCCTGCCCACCCTTGTGTATCACAGCCATGGCTACATTAATAAATGGGTGGCAGCCCTTCAGCTCTATGGAAACTGAAAAATTACCCAAACAACTCAATACAGAGAATCATACGCCACCTCATCTTTGAGTAGCAGCCTCTGAATTCTTAATTTTGGCTGTACTCTGGAGGCTGGACCATCAGAGCTGAGTCATAGTGGCTAATAAATGCATGATCCTAGAAGACTCTCAATAATACCACTAGTTAGGGACTCTTCTTTTGTTGAATATCTGTTGCTACAACTTTATGGCAAAAAGTAATGCATCTTCTTTTGTTTAAATGATGGATGGCTACTACTGTTGATTCTTTCTTCAGCAAATTTGTAAAGTGAGAAGTAGAGCCACATGGTGCCGGAGAACATTAGGTCATATGCAGAGATAAGATTTCATTCCTGAACTGCTATATGGAATATAGGAAGCCAGGAGTGGAAAACTTCATTCATAAGTTCTCAGCACATTGTAAAAAACTCAAACAGACAACCTTCCCAGGTAGAAAAGGCTTAGCAGTTAAGTGGAGGTCACCTAGAGGCCAGCCTCTCAGGACAGGTCTTGATGCTATTCATTTCATGTTAGTGTGGATTCATGACTTTTGATTCTCTTCCAAAAGTGTCCAAGCTCTCAACCAGCAGGAAGACATAGAATTTGGGGGAAATGGGAATTTCTGGATCTGAAATAATTCTGGAAATCTTCCCCTCTCTCCTCCAAAGCTTCTAAGTTACCCCATTGCTCTTTTGTGACCCAATCCTCACAGAAAGTAAAGTGGGGATGCCTTTTAATGTCAGAACACCTTTTAATTCTGATTCTTATTGAGATGAGGACCGTGCACAAATAGAAAAGGGCAAGGATGTAGGAGAGAACCCAGGAGACTACAGGGGAGAAGTATTGAGAACCAGGGCTTAACTCTGGCCCTTGGCTCGTGAGAGGGTGTCAAGACCATAGGTGTTTGGGTCCCATTTGCTGTTTGACGTATTTGTAAAGCAAAGACAGAGAGCAAGGTGAATGATGTGGAAATACTTTTTAGATCTTTTGGAGCAGCTTCGACCTGAGAAATTAACCTGAGTGAACAATAGTTTATTGCTCTCTGTCACCTCAGAATCTTCCTCAACCCTCCTTACCCTGGGGGCAACTGAAGCATGAAGAAAACCTGCCACGGAAAGGCTGAGAGGCATTCCCGGGGTGGGGGTCCTCAGGAGGAGGTGTGAGGCAGGCATGGCTGGGGTTGGGCACTGGACCAGGACCTAGCTGGCCTGGTTTCCAGTTCTGACATCATCTGCACGTGTTACCTCCGGAAGATCATCACCTCCCACAAAACCTTTGTTTCACTATCTGAAAATGAAGGACAATGGATCAGGTGATCTTTAAGATTCTTCTTAGTCCCGGATCTGGTTCTATCCAGCTATTAAGCCAGTAAGGTTTTCTATTGCCTGTGCTTGCCAGAAACATATGCCTTTCTCTTTTCTGCCTCTCAGCCCTTCGTGGCCTTCCTCCTGAGGCTTCCTGACTTCCCACAGCTGCCCTGCTTTGTTCCCCGACACACCAGGACACAGCAGCCGGCAGGAGCCAGAGACCAATCAGTATTTGATAAAGATAAATCTGTGCTCAGAACTGGAACAGATGTTTAGCCAATTAGGAAATGAAACCCTCTGTTGAAGTAGTTCTGCTTCCATCTGAGGACTTTGGATTGAGCTGTTAAAAGGACTCATTTCTTCAAAAATGCTTTGCAGAATCTATCAAAGCAAGGTAAGAGGTTAGGTCATTTGCTCTAGATAACTCAGTTACAATGTGGCTTCAACACAATTACCATTCACAGATGTATAACATCACAAAATCTGAATGTTCTAGAATGGAAGGGACCTTAAGGCTGTTTTTCACACCTAGTGCAAAAATTCCTCTGCAACCTGGTTACTCAGAGTGTGGTACCTGGACAGCCTCAGCGTTATCTGGGAGCATTCTAGGAATGCAGAATACCAGCCCCCACCCTAGACCTGCTGATTCAGATCTCACATTTTAATAAGATGCAAAGGTGATTCACACACACATAAAAGTGTGAGAAACACCATTCTACAATATCCCTGATCAATGAACAGCGTGTCTTAGTTTAAACACATGCAGGCAAGGACGTAGTTTGCTCAATTGCAGGGTGTTCTATTTGGGGATACCTATAAACATCACAATGCACATTTTTATAATAATAAATCTAGTGAATATTTATTGACCTTGGACCATGTGACCTCTTCTCAAAGCTCAACAAGTATATGTTGCCTCATTTAATCCTCACAACAGCTATTTGAGGTAAATACTATTTGTTTTCACTCAATCCCCACAACAAATATATGAGGGGCTATTCTCTTCTTTCTCATTTTATGAATGAGAAAGCTGAGGCCAGAGAAACTGAGTGACTTGCAACAGGGCTGGGGAGTGGATTGTGAACTCTCACGTAAGTGGTTTGGCTCCAGAGCCCAGACATAACCAGTATGTTATATGCCTCTTTATAGTGAGCAGAAGTGCTCCTTTCTATTGTTTCTGTTCACCTGTCATCTAGAAATATGAATAAAATTCTATTTTTTCTATATGAAAACTTCAAATTATTTAAAACCAACTCTTATGATCACTCTCTTTAATATGTTCTTCATATGACTTAATTATATATCCTCACCACATTAGTCAAATCCTACTTTGTCACTAAAATGTGGCCTTCAGCATTGTATCTGAAACCTCAGCTATGTGATTTTGAGCAGGGCCAAGTAGTAAAATTATCTTCAACCTGTATTGAAACAGCATACTTTGAATAATGAGGCCCAAGTACTAATGAATACTTTCATCGTCACAGCATTGATTGATATTGAGCTCAATGTCTTTTTCACAAAGACTGCTATTAAGCCTAGTCTTTCTAAGTCTGTATTTGTGGAGATGGTTTTTGAACTCCGGAGGGTTTGCTTAAAGCAAACCTCTCATTAGCATCTTGTGCTTCTGCCTACGCTGAGCTCAAGTGATATCCCAGCACCATCTTCCAGTGTAGTGAGGGCTGTTAGCACCACCACTATCCAGGCTAGGGCTGAGTAGGGTAAAAACTGCTATCTGTTCTTCTTAAATTTCATCTTGTTAGCTGTGACTCATTATTCATACTGTCAAATCTTTTGAATTCTTGATTCTATCACTCAGCATTTTTGCTAGCTGGCCCACCCTTCTGTCATCTGAAAATTCGATCAACACACCTTCTGTCTTTATTAAGCAATTTGCAACTGAAAGTGCTGAATGGTCCAGTTGAAGGAAGTCCCTAGGATAGGACCTGCTCCCAGAGACCTCCCCTGAAGGCTGACTTCAGATTGTTAATCTGTTCTCTTGAACCAGACATTTAATCATCTTACCATTTTGTAGCTCTTCATACAGCTTCTATGTCTCCATTTCCTAAAGAGAGAGAATGATGGCCAACACCTCATTTTAAACCACCAATACCCTCCGGTAATGTGGCCCCGAATGATTATGGTGGAGGCAGCATTTGTTTAGTGGAAGGCACCTGGAATCAGTATTAGAGATAAGGTGGGTGTGAGCTCCAGCTTTGCGATCTAAATTGTGTACTCTGTAGTTAGGGCAGATCAGAGAGGAAACACTAAGAGTTCTACGTAATAGGTGATTTATTGTAGGAATTTGGATGTATGCGATTGTGGGAGCTGGTTACATATGAAACACTGTTAGTTCAGTGTATATTGTTAGAGCCTAAAGCAGTAGGGTGATCAGTCAGGAAGAAAAGATGGATATGAACTGGAGGAATACAAGGGCAAGCTAGGACTGGTGAGGATGTCCCAGAACCCACAGAACAGATTAGAATACACATCAGTCTCTCATTACTTCCATGGCTCCAGTTTTGATGATGCAGGCGATCTGTAGTAAAAGCTGGCTCCTTTATCACATAGAGAAATATGCCCTTGGTCCTGAAGGGAGAGATGCAGTGGGAGTTGGAGGTGCTATGGGCCTGGCCCCTGCCCCATACCAGCCAGGTGAGCCAGCAGGTCAGCAATGATGTGCATGACCTGCAACAGCTGCCCTGCACTGACCTTCTAAGCACATGAATATGTCTGCTGTTTCATTCTGCCTTTCAAATCTTGTGCAATCTGTCTCCTTTTGCTATAGTAACGGAAACTATGCAGGGAAGGGAATCTGGGAAACATAGTTTCAGTTTAGCTAAGTTGATATATACCTCTTTTAAACATACTTACCCTCCAAATGAAGATAATGGAAAAACTGTGCTTCAGCCTAATATAATGCAACTATCTCTTATACAACTAAAAACACATAATCCTTTTCCCAAAAAGTGGATACAAATTCCTTTTATTCATCTTTGGGTGATGTCTATTCTTCTTCTTGTTGAGTCACATTCCTTTTTGATATTTTATAACTTAGATTCTGAGATATAAAGTTAACCATAGCTTATGTTACTTGGTAGGGGAATGAATAGAAGAGGAAAAGAGAAAACATTTGGTTGTTATGTACCAAATCATATTCATCTTAAAATAAGAAAAAAGTATGAATAACTATTATCATCCTTGTTTCTGCAACTGACTACATGGTTTTAGCTGCTATTTATTACTACCTTCTTCCCCTACTCATTCCATATTTCCTTTGCCTCTACAAAGTACCTCAGCTGCTTGTGGTTCCTTATCAGATAGGCTGATTCAAAACTTCATTCCAAAAGGGGTTTGGGATATTAATAGTACTGCCTATAGTGGATTGTTGAAAGTTTCTATTGACTTTGATTGTAGGTCCTGGAGTACTAGGAGATGCTCCAGGGATTCTCCTGAATTGCATGTAAATGCCTCCTTGTCTCTAGTATGTAGTAGTAGAAACTCTATATCCTCTTAAAAGCATCAGTTATCCTAATTAGTACAGTGGCCTCCATCTTCACTGTTGAATTAGTGCCAGGAGGAACCCAAAGTGCCAGTATCTGTCAGCTTATAGTTTAAGTAAACATTGTTGTACCTATTGGTGGAAGCAGTCCTCTCTTTGGAATGGAGAGGGCCAAAGTTGGGGGTAAATCAAAACTTTCTCTTGTGGAATACTAGGAATGACAATAGGAGAAATCACTCCCACTTTCAAAACCCTTATCTCAGGATAAGGAATGAAACGGCTAAGGAAGAAACGGCACCATATACTGCTTGCTGATTTAAAGCACAATGCATGCCTGGAGAAATTTCAGAGATTGGTGCCACTACCAAAGACCTGAAGGAAGTAAGATGTGAGTTCTACCACATCTTTTTTTTTTTTTTTTTTTTTTTTTTTTGAGACGGAGTCTCCCTCTGTCACCCAGGCTCTGGAGTGCAGTGGCGCAAACTTGGCTCACTGCAAGCTCCGCCTCCCGGGTTCACGCCATTCTCCTGCCTCAGCCTCCCAAGTAGCTGGGACTACAGGTGCCCGCCACCACGCCCAGCTAATTTTTTGTACTTTTAGTAGAGACGGGGTTTCACTGTGTTAGCCAGGATGGTCTCGATCTCCTGACCTCGTGATCCACCTGCCTTGGCCTCCCAAACTGCTGGGATTACAGGCGTGAGCCACTGTACCTGGCCTACCTACCACATCTTTATTCAACTTGTCTATTTGGCTGGTGTAGAAGACAGATGGATCTTGGAGAATGACAGTGAATTATCACAAACACAATCTGATAGTGACTCCAATTGCAGCTGCTATTCCAGATGTGATTTCGTTGCTGAAGCAAATCAGCACATTCCCTGGCACCTGGTGTGCAGCTGTTGACCTGCCCTTTTCTTTATGCATCTTAGTACAGACCTTTAGTAGTTGTTTGGCTTTCATCTGGTAAGACCAACAATATACCTTTACTGTACTACCTCAGGCAACATCAACTCTCTAGCCATTTGTTATAATCTAGTTCTCAGGCAGATCATCCTAGTTCATTACATTGCTGATATCATAGTGTTTGAACCTCATGAGTGGATATTGCAATAATCTATGATGCATTGGTAAGAAACTTTTTTACCCAAAGGATGAGAAAAATACATCACTTGCAAGATGACTTCAGGTCATTAATCTACTCCAGGGCCAGGTGATGAATCATCTAAATACCTGGATAACACTTTCATGCAGCCTATCTCCATTTTCTCCAGGAAGGTGACATCTGGTCACTCTATTTAAAACCACCACCCTTATACCAGTTACACAGCCTTGATCTATTACAGTGAGGGCCATAGTAGTATAGTAGAAATAAATACATGTAGTCAACATAAGAATGAGCTAGGTTTGTACCATGGTTTTGCCACTTATGCCTAAATGTTTCCTTGGGCAGGTCAGTTTCTTCAACAAAAATCCAACTCACAGAGTTGATATGAAGACTATATGTGATACTATGTAGGATGGAGAATGAATTTACATCTATAGAGCCCTTTTATATTCAGACACTTTATGGATTGTGTGTGTTGAATCTATGTGCATTTTTATTACCTGTTAGCAGATGAGGGACAGAGGTTCTGCCAAGTGGTTTCACTTGCCCAGACTCGCACTCTGAGGAGGTGGTGGAAGAAGGATGTGAACTCAAGCTGTTTTGTTTGCAAACCAGCGTATTCTCTTCATTTGGCCTTTTCCCACTTTGCCATGGAAAAACGCAAACCCTAAAATACCAGCAGTGTATAAATACAGGTTCTGTGCTGTTCTTTGTGAATTCATGCTCAAGTTCACTGATCCTTCCTTCTCCAATTGCCTAGAAATTCTCTGTCTAGCCATCTGGGGACTCTATCTTTAAAAAGATCAGAGTGTGTTTTTCTTTTTTTTTTTAATTCTTATTAAAAAACCTTATGGTTTTATTGTATCATGAGACATTGAAATATCTGAAAAAAATCAATGTCTGGGTGGTGAGGCAGCTGCTTTCTCCTTCACTTCCTTGAGTAATTAGAGCAACTTGTCAGTAGATTTTTTTTTTTTTAAAAAAAGGACAAACCTTTGCATTACTTAAGCCTTTCTAAGGCATGTGCTAGTACAACACAAATTTCTCCAGTCCTATGCAAGTTGTCTAGCAACCAAACATCATGAACATGTCGGTGGCAGCAGTGCACCGTACCCACTCCCACAACTGCCCTGCTCATTTGTGTATGATATTTGGAGCAACTAGAGGAGTGTGAATAGTACTGGGAAGAGGCAGCAGGAGGAAACAGCACGAGTGCCTGGCTGGGAGGAGGCCAGCCCTTGTTGCGCAGGGCAAGCCTGAACATGTCATTGGTGCGAACCCACACCTTCTTGATGTTCTTTAATAGGAACATCTGGTGGAACCCTATGATGGAGTCTTCATCTGCCTTAAGTTGGCCTACAACCATGCTGAGGATGCAGCTATCTGGTATAGGCCTGTTACTGGGAAGTGCAGGAATCCTTGTTTCTTAGTCTTACTTGGAAGAAAAAATTCTGCCAAGAGAAAATTTAGCACTCCCACCTCCAAAAGAAAGATAATTTATTGAAGGAAAATAGAGAGCAGAGAGTTTATTCAGAGAGACAGGATACTCTGAAAGACGAGGCAGAGTGGGCTGCTGAAAGAGAATGAGCCAGTAGTCTCTGAGAGTTCTGCACTCAATTTTTATGGTACCAGATTTTTTCTTGAAGTTCCCACCTCTGTTGTAAGTCTCCGCCTTTTTTCTTTGTTTAATTTTCCTGCTTCTGCCTTAAGTCCCCCGTTTTCCCATCTAGTTCCCACCCCAGGCTTGTGGGACCTTTCCTTACTGAAGCAGCCTCATCGTCTAGGGTAACACCTGAGGTTCTTTGTCTCATGGCCATGGAGATCAAGGATGCAGACACAAAAAGAATGAGGTTAAGAGCAGAAATTTAATAGGCATAAGAAAGAGGAGAGCTCTGCTATAGAGAGGGGTCCTGGGAAAATGAGTTGTTCATCCACAGTGAAATGCAGGGGTTTTTATACGTGAGCTAGTGGGGAGGCAGTGTCTGATCTACATAGGGTGCAAAAAACAAGAGGGCCATCTGCATAGGGTGTGAATCTCGACACCCCCCACCCCAATCTTTTATTATGCAGGTGGGTTCTCTGTCTGAGCATCTCCATGTTGCCTAGTTCTTTCTTATTGTACACATGCTAACAAAAAAGGGAAGGCGGACCCCTATGGTGGACATGCCTGGCCCCCAGGTAGCCCTGTTGATGTAGCTGCAGGCCTCCCCTTGTGCAAGCTTCTAGCTTCCTTATCTATGTTTGCAGCTCCATCTTTCAGGCTGCTCTTTGCTAGAAAAGAAGTAATGTCTAGGGCTGCTTTTCTGTTAGAAGGGAAGTTCTGCCGAGGACTCTTTCCCCCTCACTATCTGCCTAAATAATTTCTTTCTATCTCCTTTATCGTTACTATTAGTTGGTGCACATGCATGGGCCCAGTTTTGGATAGGAATTCTACTGAATGGCTGCGTTGCTCATTACTGCCACCCCAGGAAGGTTGTATAGCATTCAAATCTTATGTATTCTGCCTGCATATCTCTTAGGAATTTTTCTGTTGCCTTCTTTTTGCCTTATCAGCATGTAGCTAGCTACATTCTGACCAGTTAACTGCAGAGTGAGTGATTACTGGGCATCTTAAGGGGTGTTCCTTTCTGCAGAGGTATTTCTCCTCCTCTCTGCTCATATCTAGCATGCATGTTTTGGATGGTCCCTGGGGTGTGAGATTTTCCAGACCTCCCTTTTCTCAGGGGCTCTTCCTTCCTGCTCATTTCTAGCTATCTGCCTACTCTACCAGGCTGATGACCTTGCACCATGATGCTGTGCTGGATTTTCTGGAACAGAAGGGAAGGCTAGTTTTCTCCTGGAACAGCTGTCCTTCCCATGTAAGGCGTGACATGTCAATGTAAATTGCACCTACTTGGGTTGTATTGTAATCAAATAACTGGTAGTAATGTTGAATGAAGCTGGGTCCAATCTGCTCCCAAATTGGCTTGCCTCATATTCTGGAGCATCACTGGCCTCACTGAGACTCAAGGGGCTGGCACAGGGGCAGCAGCAACACAGTGCGCTCTGCGACCACTGTCCCTTTTCCCTTGCCTTCCCTTGCCCGCTCCACTGCACTCTTGTTTTTGCTTGAAATTTTATTTTCCCATTTTGAAAATTGCCTTTCTATATATTTAGCAGAAACTATATTTAGTGTTCAAAGCACTTGAACGTATGTTCTCTCATTTAACAATCTGTGGAATGGAGGAACTTGTCTTTATTTTATACGCAAGAAACTGTGGCTTGGGTAGGTTAAGAATGTATCAAAGATTACGAAACTGGTAAATGGAGAAGCCTCCTCCCTCTAGCTTCAGGGATTTTTTTGCACTCTCTGTCAGTGCTGCAAGAGCCTCTAAATATCTGTTATCTCTGGGAAGCCAGTTTTCTCTTTTGCCTTTTATACCAGACATAGCTTCCTTTAGAAATATATGGGCGTATTGTAACTCTCATAGAAGTTCTTTCATCAGTGGGCTACAGAAGGTCCTGAAATTTCTCAGGAGAACTTAATTCCAAAATTCTGTTAGAAGGAACACCCCACCAAAAGCCAGAACCATCAAAACTGAACAAGCGTCTAGTTTATCAGGCATGTGGTCTTCTCTCAGCATATCTTATACTGAGAGTAATAGGATAATAAAAATGTTCTCGATATGCACCGCCAGCTTACTTTATTTCAGATATTATTAAACTAGTCTTCTCTCAAACCTCCTATTAAAAAAACCCACAAAACTCTTGAAAGAAGAATGATAAATGCTTTAAAAGTCCATCATTGAGCCAATAAGAAAGTTACATTCATATGGCCCAAAAAGCATGAAAGCAGAAGTAAGAGGGTGAGAAAATTACAGAATGTAACTTTTTCACTGAGGCCACCTACTGCTTCCTGGGATGAGCTTCAGATTTTAAGGTTGGGATAAGAAGTCAATACAAAGAGTTCACCTTGTGTGGTGGGTCTAATAAGAGCCCATTGTGTAAAAGCCTATAACCTAAGAAGAGGTTCTAAAACACTACAGAAATCCTTACCAATTCTATTTATGTTTTTTGTTTCCCCAACATTAGGTTGGCCCATGTCAGAATATTGATTCTTGACTATTATTGACCTATAAGTGTGGCAGTTTCATGTGATTTAATGTAATAGAATGTCATTGAGATTTTTGCTCCTGGCTGTATCTCCAATGCCTAGAAGAGCATCAGGTACATAGTAGGTACTGAATAAACATTTGTTGATGTGATGAATGAATAAAATCAAATTGGAAACCAATCATCAAAAACAAGTAGAATAACTGCGTATGTGAGTTAAATCACATTTAAACAACCCATAACAAAAGAAGAATTGATAATAAAAATGAAAGGAAATCTAAGTTTAATATCTGCTAGAAACAGAAGGAAAAAATAGGAAGCAGGTGGTGGTCTCTTGGAGTTGCCTTTAGTGAGATTTGACCAGATAACTGGGTAAACACATTGACTTCTAGGCTCCCCACTGTACTCTTCTTAGCTGTTATTTGCCAGCTTGAAATTTCTGATTTTCATTACCATCTGAATAACACAGATATTAAAAAATAAAAAACTCGTCTTTTCAATGTTTATAACCAAATGTAATTTCCTTGAGTAATGTACAAGTTCATATTCATAAGAGAAATATGGAATCTCAATTAAAAGTCCTATGATGTGGAGCTTTGAAGCCCTCCTTTCAAGAGTTATCCAAGATTATGTGACGTTTCCTCACCACCCCGTCTCTCTTTCATATTTAATCAGATACTGAGATTAGAGATGCAATTTCCTTTTTGTGTCTAGGGAGGTTTATCAGAATGCTGCACACTATTGCTTCCACTCTGCTTCTCCTCATCCCCAGGTTATAGGACCAAAGTGTCTATCTTACAGTTATTCATTGGAAATTATTTACTTTCTTGATTTAATGAACAAAAATACTGTGAAGTCACATTTTGTGTGGTGGTCAAGTTCAAAAGTCAACAAGTAAGGTGAAAATCATATATCATTAAAACTTCACATTAAAACCTTTCTGCTACCCATAAATTAAAATATGCAAAGTTTTAAATGTACAATCTTTAGTATTCCTGTGTACTGGATGAGAACCACTGAATTAACTAAAGACATAAATAAGAGAGAAGCAGATCAGTAGATGTACAGCTATTCAAATCCTCTGTCTTAAACAAGACTATGAAATTCATGGGGAGGACCATCGGGTAGGTGGAGACTCCTAAAGTACTTTTTGTTTTAATGGTATGCCTCTACCTGTATTACATGTGCATGTATTCATTCATATTGAGGATGACATATTGCATTTTATGTAGGAGTCAGGGCCTAACCCTAGGGCTGAGGATCATGCATCTGCCTGCCTTTCTTTTTCTTTCTTTCTTTCTTTCTTTCTTTCTTTCTTTCTTTCTTTCTTTCTTTCTTTCTTTCTTTCTTTTCTTTCTTTCTTTCTTTCTTTTTCCTTCCTTCCTTCCTTCCTTCCTTCCTTCCTTCCTTCCTTCCTTCCTTCCTTCCTTCCTTCCCTCTTTCTTTCTTCTTTTTTTTTTTTTCCTGAGATGGAGTCTCCCTCTGTCGTCCACGCTGGAGTGCAGTGGCATGATCTCGGCTCACCGCAAACTCCGCGTCCCGGGTTCAAGAGATTCTTTTGCTTCAGCCTCCCGAGTAGCTGGGACTACAAGTGAACGCCACCACGTCCAGCTAATTTTTGTATTTTTTGTAGAGATGGGGTTTTGCCCTGTTGGCCAGGCTGGTCTCAAACTCCTGACCTCAAGTGATCCACCTGCCTCGGTCTCCCAAAGTGCTGGGATTACAGGCAAGAGCCACCATGCCCAGCTATGCATTTCTCTTATATAAACAAAAGGGATCATTGGGTACCAAATAGAGAATCAAGTTTTGGGCTAAATTGTTTACATACTGAACCCGCACAGCCAGAATGCCTCCTTCCTAGAAAAAGTGTGGTTGTGAGAGAGGTGAGTGGGCCTATTAGGTCCTGGGAGAGAGTGAGAACTTCAGCCTGTGGTTGTATACCAGATCTGCTGTGAGGATGGCAACCTACTGTAACAAAGGTCTGTTCAGCCCAGACATGCGTGAGTGAGATTTTCAGCTGGGCCTGGGATTAGAGTCTAGGTGCTTTAGGTAATGCCAGATCTGTTAGAGATATTTTCTTCCAGAGTTCCCCCTTGTTCTCCACTGCTTCTGGGGCAGGAAGACTAAGAAGAGACCCAGAGGTAATTTTACCATGAAGATAATAAAGCTACAGTATAGGGTTCTGCAATTGCATGAGTCCCTTTCAATATATGGGGAGGAGTCTTAGCAATATGATCAAATGATCATTTTTTCAAAATTTGTGACATTAAGATATTTTAAATGCAGTCAGCTAAGGCCACTCTTTCTTTCTCCCCAACTTCTCCAGACAAATCCTATTAGTTTGTTTTTGGTGGAGTAGTTGTAGACATTTCTGGGATCCAGCTAAGGGGAGAGTTGCATTGGAATTACAGTGAGTTGGGGTTTTGTGATTCACACATAAGTCACTTCCTGGCAGAGGTAAGTTGTAGCTGACTGTCCTGCTGCATGAATGGCTTCCAGGATGCTCTTGCCACCTGCTGAGATGACCTGCCTGGTGCTGGCAGGAGGATGTGAGGCCAGAAGCTATGCTGCCATGTGAATATGTCTTACACAGCCCGGCACTGGATGCCGACGGGCAGTGGAGGAGAAACCTGAAGAGAAAAAGACTAAGTTATGGTTCCTTCCCTGCCTTGAAAATGATGTCATAAAATTATTGGCATGTACAGCTGAAAATGTAGGAAATGTACCAAAAAAAGTATGTTAGGCAGTTAATTAATACAAATATTGTGTGCTTTATCTTCATTTTATGATGTTTGTGGTATTTGTCAGTTTTCTAAAATTTGCGTGCTATGATATACTTTGTCTTTTCTTTATAAGTACATATTCACTTTTATGCAAAATTTTGTTTTTGTAACTGCATTCATTTCTAAAATGGGCTGTCAAAATTGTACATAAACTTCAGGTCTCACTATAGCTGCATCTCTGCAGGCTGGACTCTTGGCCAAAGAATGTTTCCATACCCTACCAAGGCTTTTCTTGCTTGCTTAGGACATTCATCCACTGCAGGGACATATGTCTCATGAGCTTCAGAGGTCACCAATCTTTTAAAGGCTACCTGAAATTGAGGACAGGTTGCAGTGCCCAGAGCTGGGTAGCATATGAAGTCTGGCCTCTGATCTTTGACAGTAAACTCTCTCTTTTTATAGGGAAGAACAAAGAATGGCCAGTGTGCAGACCATGAACCAGAAAGAGGAGGCTGCTTTCCTTCTTATTTGGGAGAAAAAAGACAAATGAATACTTTGCTTTCATTCCCAGTTGCCCCTGGCTTGTGTGACCCAGAGGGTGGCAAAATCAGATAGAAGTTCTTTCCCTAGACAGAGGTGATCTTCAAAGCCATTGTTAGAGAGAAGTACTGCTAGTCTAGGAGGCAGAAGACTCAAGTTCTTATTCATCAAGCTACTTCTGCCTCCCTGTGATTTACATTCCTGTTCTGTAAAATGGGAATTTTAGTCCCTTGCTTGATTGTGTTAAAGGACGTATTACACAATGCTAGCTACAGAGCCACGGAAACGTGAAATTCACTAAGTCCGTGTAAGAGATTTGATGAGCAGAAGAAAGTATTAAGGATAAAAATCAATACTGTTATTTAGCTAAACTTTCAGAAAATATTTTCCTGGACTAGCCGTGGGCTACAATAGGGGGGTCCTGATTAATTATGGTCAGGGAGGCTCAGAAGATCTGGAGTTCTATAATAATGCAGTCTAATTCATGGGGGCTAATTTGTTCAAGCCTAGCCATGTTTGTCAGTATAATTGAAAGGAGAATCATCAGATTCCAAGTGCCCCAGCCAGTAGCAGACCCAGGGGACTGTGCTCTCGTTCTGCCTGGAGACCTCGCTAGGCTACTTGTTTCCAGGCTGGCAGGAAGGGAGGAAACCTTCTTTCTGGATTTTGGGCTGCCTATTAATCAACATCACTTTCCTCATTAATATAAAGGCATCCTCAGCTGCACATTTTGAGGAGCTTCCAACAATTCATTTTTCCTCTGGTTACAGAAAAATCAGCCTTCATAATGAGGAGGAAAGCTGTGTTTTTCACAGAGCTAAATATTAATTCTTTCAGTTTGTCATTTACATATCCCTCAAATTAGGTTTACTTTTTCAGTTTACATGACTGAAGCCCCACAGCTAGAAGATATACAATTAACACTCTTTCTCTGGGTAGGGTCAGAGGGCCTGCTTTGTGGGCTCAGGTTTCTCTGAAGACAGTCGCTGAAGGTACATGAGAAATGGAAATTTAATTGGCATAACTAGGAGGATCTCCTTGAAGGCTGAGAAGATTTTCCTCGGCCGGTTGTTTCCAGACAAACAATGTTGGCCAGGGAGTGATTCCACTTTCATGTCTCTTCCCTCCACAGAGGGGAAGCGCCAGCCACTGCCTGTATGCCTTTAGGGACAGGCCCTACTCTTCTCTGCCAAGATCAAGGAGTCCAGTGGCCACTCAGGGGGTATTGTCTCTTTGCCAGCGCTAGTGGTCTGCATGTGTCAACTAGATCTTCACCAAGGTTTATAGATGCCTTGCTCAAAAACTTGCCTTGATGTTAAAACAGATGGACTGAGTACTTTCTCCTGCAAGAAGCCTGTATGGATGTCTCAATACCTCTTCTCTTCCTCCCTCTCTTCCTCCCTCCCACTATTCCCTCCTTCCCTCCATTACCTCCTCCCCTTCTTCCCCTCCCTTCCTATCTCCTTTCTTCTCTGCTTCCCTCCCTCTCTTCCTCCCTCACTTCATTTCCTTGTTCCCTTCTTCTGCCTCCTTACCTCCCCGCTCCCTATCTTCTTTCTTCCTTCCCTCCATTCCTTCTTCCCTTCCTCCCCCTCCTTCCCTCCCTCTCTTCCTCCCTATCTTCTTTCCTCCCTCCCTTTCCATTCCTCTCTTTCCCTCCTTGCCTTTCATGTCTAGTGTCTATGTGCTAGATGCTGCTAGATGTTGGAAATACTATGATGACAAAGACGCAGGCTGGTGAGGGAGACAGAAACAGGCATTCTTAAGGCAGTCTGATAACCATCTCCACAGAGGAGAGGACAGGGTTCTGTGGCGCAAAGAGGAGCCAGGCCAGCGGGATGGGTCTTACCTCTGAAATCTCTCAGCACCCACTGTTGACTGTCGATACCTGACACTGGATTTTCCAGTACTTCTTGCCCTATTATTTATCTGAAAGGTGTCTGTGATTCTGGTCTTAGACAGGCCAAATTAAATATTCATGAGTTCAATTTTCTCACCTATAAAACAGAAATAGCAAAACCTGAGTTCAGTCATGCCATGCACTTAGAATTCCAACCACAGCAAATGCCTCCTGAGCCATGAATGGTATCAAATAGGGGTTAGGCTGCTATTTGACCTTTCTCTGTAAGTGACAGTTCATGTCATAGAATTACCTCTGATTCTTAAGGACTTAGAAGACCTCCTTGGAAAGCCAAGGCAAAAAAAGGTTCATGGTGTTGGATTCTTCTTAAGACTGCTGAGTAGCAGGATTTCTTTTCTGGATGCCTTCTGAAGTCATTTGAGGTTAATAAGGTGGGCAGTGTCAGCTTTTCATTTTGATCGGGTGAGAAGAATCAAAGTCAAAATTTTGTATCTACACAGCTGGTGGTTGTATTATATATATATATATATATATATATATATATATATATATATATATATATATATATATATATAATTTTGGCATTTGGCTTAGTGCTTAATCTATGTTTTCTCAATTAAAAAGAGAATGTCTTGATGGCAAAGAGTGCTGAGTCTAAGGTCAGATAGAGCCTGATTCAAGTCCTGAATGTACCAGCTATATAAACTTGAGCAAGTCACTTCATTTCTCTAAAGCTCAGTCTCCGTTTCCTCTCTCTCAAGTAGAGACAATTGCACTACTACCTTAGAGGAATATTGTGATTTCTAAGTGCTCTTGTCAGGCCTTAAATATGCAATAATTATTTATTATTACAGAATACCAAATGTATGCATGCTGTGGACATGTGAATCAAAGCATATGCCTGTGGTTTTCATGTACATTAGACAAAGCTTCTTGGCACACTTCACCTCACAGAGGACAACTTCGAGGTACATTATTGGTGTGGTGGCTACTTGTAAATGACACTCAAAGGGCTGTCTCTTCAGCCCCTCTTCTCTAATAATTGTCTCTCCTCATCCTTAATGTGGCCATATGAGAGTCACTGTGCTGATAGAGTGATTCTTTTCCTTAGCCATAGCTTATTGGCTCAAGGTTCAGACTTGGGAGCCAGGGAGTTGGGTGAGGTTTTTTCTTTGACCTATATCAGTCAAAACCATAGTCCAGGAGATGTTAGAGTAGCCGTTCTTCCTGCCATGTGGACCTGAGAAGCACAAGAATTTGGCCTGGAGAGAGAGAAAGAGGAAGGAAGGAAGGAAAGAAGGAAAGAAGGAAGGAAGGAAGGAAAGAAGGAAGGAAGGAGAAGGGGAAGGGGAAGGGAAGGGAAGAAGGAGGGAGGGAGGAGGGAGGGAGGGAAGAAAACGAAAAAGGGGGAAAAGGAGGGAAGGAGGGAGAAAGGGGAGAGAAAGGGAGGGAGGAAAGAAGAAAGAGAAGAAAGAAAGTAAGGATGGAAGTGAGGAAGAGATGAGTAGTGGATGTGCCGAGAGGAGTGGGAATATGAGCCGGGCAATGAATCCCAAGTTATATCTTGTTCCATTTATTCCTGAGATCTAGTCGTATTCCAGTTTCTATGCTTTTTAAGATTATCCAGCAGCATTTTAATAATTCGTCTCTACTTTTACTTAAGCTATGGAGAGTTGGATTTTCTAAGTAATACCTTCTTCCACACATATTACACCAGGGAGAGTGCCTAGCACAGACGTCTAGCTGATATTAACTGCTAATAAACATTACACCCACCTGGTCTTTCTAAATAGTTGGTCATCATCATTATGATGACATTAGAGAGTAGATACATGAGTTTAAAAATTACTTTGTATTTTATTGTTCTTTCTCTGAGTTAGTTCCCGCTGAATGAAAAAACAAACAAACAAACAAACAAACAAAAACAAAAACAAAGGTAACATGTTCTTAGTCCAGAGGTAGTCAGAACTAGCCTAGTCATATGAATAAGAGAAAATCTGGAATGGTGTTGTAGCTGCAGAAATTGGCAGTTTCTAACCCTGGGTCCCAGGAGATTAAAAGACCAGGAGCACAAAAAGAAAAGTTCAGTAGAGCAGAGGTTCTAAGGGGCTTGCCTGCCCCTTCCAAGTACTGCTGGAACCACAGTCCTGAGATGCTATCAGGGTCGTTTGTCACAGGGAAGAAGATGATCCTGGAAAAAGACGTTCCAGGGTCCTGGGTTCCAAAGAACCCCTACTCTTACCATATGCTATACCTGCAGAGCTAGGAAGCCAAGATCCATCTCTCCTCTGGGGTGGTGGGATAAGTAAGCGGGTAGAAGCATAGACTCCAGAGACAGCTGGAAACTCCCTGAGTTTCAATCCTGGCTCTTATGTGTGATTTTGGGCAAGTTAGTTGATCCCTTTGCCTTTCAATGTCTTTATCTGTAAGATATGGATAAGACTATTTTCCTACAAAGGTCTAGAAGAGGATTAAATGGGTTAGTATATGAGTGTTTGGTACCTAGTAAGACCACATGAATATTAGCGTTATTGTTTCTGCTGCTGTTAGTATTACTAACAACAGCAGCCCTGCGAGCTCACAATCCACAAGGAGGCAGCACTGAGAGTCCTAAAAGCTAACCAATGCAGGCAGTTCCAAAGTAAAGGTATTCACAATGAGGATTATGGAAATTGAGTAGAAGTTCAGGGAAGACCTCCTCATCTTGAAATCTCTTGCTTGGAGGAAGCCTTAGTTTTCCTCTTGTCCAATAGCTGATGAGACATATGAATTTCATTTATAATATTCCTGTCACACAATTGTCCAACACATCTTTGCACACTTTTCAGTGAGGAACTTGTTTTTTTCAGGTTAAAGATATCTTATTAAATGGTTTTGCCAGGTAACAAGTCACAGAAGCTACGGAACTAGAAGTCAAACTTTACTCTTCCTTCTGTCTTATAGCATTTCTTTGCCCCTCATTCATTGACTAAGTCTTATTAGTTCTCCCCACGTACACCCCAAATGCAAGATAACTTGTACTTCCTGAAAGGACATGGTTCATAAAGACCATACATAGCTGAAAACTTGTAGAAGTTAAGACTAAACCTCTGCAGGTAGCCATGTTTGTTTGCCAGCTAACATGTCACTGGCATCTGGTTAGAGTATGAACAAAGCTTCAATTCATTTGACCTAATAGTTTAGAAAAGAACCATATCATGCATTTTGCATTCAGGGATTCACATGAT
This sequence comes from Homo sapiens, assembly GCF_000001405.40. NCBI lineage: Eukaryota > Metazoa > Chordata > Mammalia > Primates > Hominidae > Homo > Homo sapiens. The sequence goes on from NC_000002.12 coordinate 21,373,501, forward strand.
TTCAAATTGTCTGTATGAAACAAAACCTTGTTAATATTTTATCTCAATTTTTTTACATCTATATAATTGAATGTACCTGAGATGGCTCCTGAATCTGTCCCTTCCTCTACATCACTGCCTCTCCTTTACTTTACTCATCATCTTTTTGTGCATTGTTAAACCTACATTTTACATGGTGATTACGATGTCTGTCTATGTGTCTGTGTTCCCATCAGTCTATATATTGAAGAGTAGGGAAGAATTTCTGTTGATATTTTTTCTCCATCTCTCTTCTTGCTTGGAAGTGAGTACATACATTCACACACACACACACACACACACACACACACACACACACACACAAAATCTGAAAATATTTTTAATTTTATTTTTATTTATTATTATTATTTTTTGAGATGGAGTTTCACTCTTGTTGCCCAGGCTGGAGTATAGTGGCGCGATTTTCGCTCACTGCAAACTCCGCCTCCCAGGTTCAAGTGATTCTTCCACCTCAGCTTCCTGAATAGCTGGGATTACAGGCTCCCACAACCATGCCCAGCTAATTTTTTGTATTTTTAGTAGAGATGGGGTTCCATCATGTTGGCGAGGCTGGTCTCAAACTCCTGACTTCAGGTGATCTGCCCGCCTCGGCCTCCCAAAGTATCTGAAAATATTACTCTCTGTACACACATTCACACACAGTATCCGAAAATATTACTTCATTCAATCTTCCCAACAGTTCTAGGAGGCAGGTGGATATTATCTTCATTTTTCAAATTAATCAATGAGGCTCAGGGAGTTTAATAAAATTGTGTAAGGTCACAAAATTCACAAGTGATAGAGGCATCATTTCAACCCAAGCCTCTGACTCCAAAGTCTATTTTCTATCTACCATGCCAGAACTCTATTTTCAATATTTCCCTTGCTCATTTGAAGCTCCTTAAAGACAGAAACTGTGCCTTTCCATTTTTATTTTGGTAGCCTTTAGCATAGTAAACCACAGCCACATCCAGGCTGGCATTCACAAAAATTAATAACTGATGTGTTGGTTATTCCTAGAGAATAGTAGAACATGACCTGGAGAGATGAGGAGTGCTTAAAAGTGGAGCAATTTGTTCAGAAGTGATGGTGATTAGGTATGCCTGTCTTTCGAAAATGTTACTGCCAGGGCACAGGGTTCTACTAAGCATAATTCTTGTCATTGTTTCCCAAAATGATGTAAGCCAAACTGAAAGTCCCTAAGACCTGGCAGTGATTTTGATGTTCCCTCAGCTACCTGTTTAGTTGTTGACCTTGGTAACTGGTTTGGGATAATCGATCAAAGGAAAAAGAAAGAAACCAAACCTTGGAGTAAGGGGCCAAGCCTAGTGGAGTCTTCCCCTTTTCTGTACCTCACCGACCTTGTTCAGCAAGCCTGGCACATTTTTTTTTTCAAAGTCACCAAGTCACTCTCACCTGAGGGCATTTGTGCCAGTTGCTACTTATGCCTGGAAATTTCTTCCTCTGTTCTTCTTCTACCCAAATTCCTATTTGCCTTTGGGTCTCAGCCTAAATGTCTCTTGTTTAGTGAGGTCCTTTCTGACTCTTCAGTGTAGGTAAGAATTTCTGTTAAGCTCTTGCTGAAATAATCCTTAATACCTAGACATTAATTACATAACTGTTTGCACTAGCATTTGGTATCTCTTTTGCATATTAGACTATGAGCTACTTCAAGGAAGGGACTGTGTCTATTTATCACTTGTCAGACACAGAGCTCCATGTTTTGTACATGATAGGTGCTTAATAAATATGGATCCATGGGTAGATGAATAGATGGGGGATAATAGGACCATCTCCCTATTTCTCCCACTAGAAGAAAATGAAGACAGAGAACAAAAGAGGTGATTTTCACTTTCATCTGGAGAACATAACGTTTCAATAAGAGAGAAGAGATTTCATTTTCTAGATTTTTGTTTTCAGAATGTTTGTCATTTAAATTCTCATTTTATTTGCCAGTACACTTATATTACTCCAAGAATGAAATTGAATAAATACATTTTTGAGTAACCCAAGGTGACCGGGAAGCCTAGGCTGCCCGAACTTGCTAGAGGTGAGCAGTCTGCAAGCATCAGGACAGGCAGAACACTCTGTCTGCCTTTGAACTGGCACTTTCTCCTTCACTGTTATCTTTAAACGTCAGATGTAAGTCTGGGAATTGCCCTCATCTTCAGTTCTGGAATGTGATGTGTTTTAAATCTTAAACAATGAAAACAACAAGGGCCTAAGTTAAAATGAAAACTCCCCTCTTTTTATTCAACGTGTTCACAAGTTTTTAGGACTCGTTCATTTTCCATTTTCTAAAACAAAAAGGGTGATTCATGCTCACAATAAAGACACTATTGGGCACAGAATATATGGAACCAGACTGGTGTGGAGAATGACAGAGAGCCCCAAAGAGCTTTTAGACTCTCATTAGGGAGTCTGGAATGATATAGAATTTAACATGTAAATAGGCTGACCATGTTTTTTATCTTCCCTAACTGAGACACTTGTGAGAGTAAAAGGAGGTGATAATTATTAATCTGGACTAACCTGTGTAAACATGTACTGTCTGGGCTAAACCTGAACATATGTCCATCCTTTATTTAATAGCACTTTGCAAGAACAATGAAATAGATAGCTCCATGTAGTACGTGACTCATTCGTTGCTAACTGAATTTTACAGTTGATAATACTCTAGAAGTTCAGAGAAGGAGGCCGGTGGTATCACTGCCTAATGCTGGGTGGTTAATGAGGGCTGTAATAAGAAGATATATTCTGAGCTGCATTTGAGAGGATGAGCAGATAGAGAGGTAGGTTAGGAGAGCAGATTCCCTCATGTGCATGAGAGGACAGAGATGTTTTTCAGCATAAAATGCTGAAATCCACTGATCTTGATTATTTAGCCTGAAGTGAAATTTGTGAAAATTATCAATATTTCACACAGAAGAAAACACTCTCTCTTTCCAGCCATGTTTGCAGTTGAATTCTCTAGCCCCACAGCAAACTCATACCCTCCAAAGATGAGCCTGTATGTGCCAGAGTCAGTGCCCCAGTGATACCTCTCTTTCTCATCCTTGCCTCTTCTTCTTTCTTTCCCTTTCCCCCTTCACTCTCCTTTCCTCTTCCTCTCCTTCCTATCCTCTTTCTACTTTCCTTCTATGAGCATTTATGCCACACACACCCATTTATACTCCATCCTGTTTCTGCCCAAGTCATGAGGACCAGGGCAACAACAACAGCAACCAGGACACACTAGACTGTTAGAGCTATCATTGTAAAATAAAGAAGCTGCAACTCTGTGGGTTGGGGTGACTGATCGGGTCCTGTCCAGGGAGCCTGATCTCTTCTAGCCTCCTGAAATTCCCTCAACACTATCTTCAGAAGAAAAACTCCCAATGGCTGAAGACCCAGCTGGGGCACTTCCAAAGAAAGTCACCTTCTTTGTCTCTTTCTTATCTCCAAGCCAAGGCTTAATACCCTTTTTAGAAGAGAGCCTGATCTGTATTTCAAGAGGATTTCTTTTAAGACAATCAAATTGCTAAGCATCATTGTTCTGGTTCTGCTTGGAGAGCTCACTAACTTGCAGCTGTGCACTGTAAGCTCTGCTCCATCAAGGCAGCTTGGAGGGAGCTGTATTGACAGAGGGATGTGAATTCCCGGAGCCTCCAGGACCCTGCCCAGTTAATACGGATGGAAACGCAGGGCATTTAAGTACATTAGCAGTAGGCTTTTAGTTTTTATCTTTGTGAAAAATGCATATTTTGTAAGTAAAAAATAAAAGTAAAAGTAAAAGAAGTAAACATTTAAAGTAAAAGAATGTTTCACAATTTATAAGAGGTTTTGAGTGTCTTTCATAGTAATATTTGCACATTCTTTTCTTCCTCTAGGAAGTAATAGGCAACACTGTCTCTACCACTCACTTCCCTGCCTTTGGTTCTATGGGTACTGGCTTCCCAGAAGGAAGGAGGCCTGCAGAGAGCATGTGCATCACTGAAAGCTGCAGGAAAGTTTAGCGAGCTAGAAGGAAGGGCAGTCTGTTAAGAGAGAAAGAAAAAATATTGATTTTTAAGCCAGAACTGTGGATGTCTGCATATTCTTTCCTGGGGAGTAGAATAGGAGGCTAGAGATCTTCTGGAAAATTCCACTCATGGGATATTGGGTGGAATATCCCACTCATATCTGGTTAACAAGACATTTCCATTTCCACTGCTGTCTGGTTCACAAAATCTCTGGGAGAGTTCAGAATCAGCTGGCCATGATCAGGCTGGGTTCTGATTTCATGTCTATCTTCCCCTTTGCTCATTTCACTGGAGCCACATGCTTTATTCTTGCAGTGAGGGATGTTCTTTTGGGAAGGAGGCTTAGTTACAGATGTGGTCTGCTTTCAGCGTTCATCATTTTACAGTGCCTGGCTGTTTTTGATCATGGGCTCATTTGCTGGCCTTTTATGTTTGGTTGTTTGTTGTTTACCTTTTAAATCAAATTTTACAATGTCACATTGCTTCATGAACCAAAGTAGTTATAAAAGGCATGATAGTAACTGATTAATTAGTTGAAACAAGTTCTCATTTAATGACTATTCTCAAGGCACTGTGTCAGCCACTGTAGAGAGACAGTGGTGGCTGTATTAGTTCATTTTCATGCTGCTAAGACATACCCAAAACTGGGAACAAAAAGAGGTTTAATTGGACTTACAGTTCCACATAGCTGGGGAGGCCTCAGAATCATGGTGGTAGGCAAAAGGCACTTCTTATATGGTGGCAGCAAGAGAAAAATGAGGAAGAAGCAAAAGCGGAAACCCCTGATAAACCCATCAGATCTCGTGAGATTTATTCATTATCATGAGAATAGCATGGGAAAGACTGGCCCCCATGATTCAATTACTTCTCCCTGGGTCCCTCCTACAACATGTGGGAATTCTGGGAGATATAATTCAAGTTGAGATTTGGGTGGGGACACAGCCAAACCATATCATTCCATCCCTGGCCCCTCCAAATCTTATGTCCTTACATTTCAAAACCAGTCATGCCTTCCCAACAGTCCACCGAAGTCTTAACTCATTTCTGCATTAACCCAAAAGTCCACAGTCCAAAGTCTCATCTGAGACAAGGCAAGTCCCTTCCATCTATGAGCCTGTAAAATCAAAAGCAAGCTAGTTACTTACTAGATACAATGGGGGTACAGTATTGGGTAAATACAGCTGTTCCAAATGGGAGAAATTGGCCATAACGAAGGGGTTACAGGGCCCACCCAAGTCCAAAATCCAGCAGGGAAGTCAAATTTTAAAGCTCCAAGAGTATCTCCTTTGACTCCAGGTCTCACATCCAGGTCACACTGATGCAAGAGGTGGGCTCCCATGGTCTTGGTCAACTCCACCAATGTGGCTTTGCAGGGTATAGCCTCCCTCCCAGCTGCTTTCATGGGCTGGTGTTGAGTGTCTGTGGCTTTTCCAGGCAAATGGTGCAAGCTGTTGGTGGATTTACCAATCTGGATCTGGAGGATGGTGACCCTCTTCTCACAGCTCCACTAGGCAATGCCCCCGTAGGGACTCTGTGTGGGGGCTCTGACCCCACAATTCCCTTCTGCACTGCCCTAGCAGCAGTTCTGCATGAGGGCCCTGCCTCTGCAGCAAACTTTTGCCTGTGCATCCAGGCATTTCCCTACCTCTTCTGAAATCTAGATGGAGGTTTCCAAACCTCAATTCTTCAATTCTGTGTATGGGCAGACTCAACACCATGTGGAAACTGCCAAGGCTTGGGGCTTCCACCCTCTAAAGCCACAGCCTGAGCTCTATGTTGGCCCCTTTCAGCCACAACTGGAGCAGCTGGGACACAGGTCACCAAGTCCCTAAGCGGCATACAGCACGGGGACCCTGGGCCCAGCCCACAAAACCACAGACCTCCAGGCCTGTGATGAGAGGGGCTGCTGTGAAGGTCTCTGATGTGGCCTGGAGACATTTTCCCTGTGGTCTTGGGGATTGACATTAGGTTCCTTGCTACTTCTGAAAATTTCTGCAGCTGGCTTGAATTTCTCCTAAAAAAAAAAAATGAGTTTTCCTTTTCTACTGCATCATCAGGCTGAAAATTTTCTGAACAAAATTTATGCTCTGTTTCCCTTTTAAAATGGAAAGTTTTTAGCAGCACTCAAGTCACCTTTTGAATGCTTTGCTGCTTAGAAATTTCTTCCTCCAGGTACTCTAAATCAACTCTCTGAAATTCAAAGTTCCACAAATCTTTAGGGTAGGGGCAAAATATCACCAATCTCTTTGCTAAAACATAACAAGAGTCACCTTTGCTCCAGTTCCCAACAAGTTCTTCATCTCCATCTGAGACCACCTCAGCATGGACCTTATTGTTAATATCACTGTCAGCAATTTTGTCAAAGCCATTCAACAAGTCTCTAGGGAGTTCCAAACTTTTCCACATTTTCTTGTCTCCTGAGCCCTCCAAGTCTCTAGGAGGTTCCACGCTTTCCCACATTTTCTTGTCTTCTTCCGAGCCTGCCAAACTGTTCCAAACTTTTCCTGTTACCCAGTTCCAAAGTCAATTCCACATTTTCAGGAATCTTTTCAACAATGTCCCACCCTACTGGTACCAATTTACTGTATTAGTTCATGTTCATGCTGCTGATAAAGACATACCCGAAACTGGGAACGAACAGAGGTTTAACTGGACTTACAGTTCCACATGGCTGGGGAGGCCTCAGAATCATGGTGGGAGGTGAAAAGCACTTCCTATATGGTGGTGGCAAGAGAAAAATGAGGAAGAAGCAAAAGCGGAAACCTCTGATAAACCCATTAGATCTTGTGAGACTTATTCACTCTCATGAGAATAGCATGGGAAAGACTGGCCCCCATGATTCAATTACTGCCACCTGGGTCCCTCCCACAACACATGGGAATTCTGGGAGATGCAATTTAAGTTGAGATTTTGGTGGGGACATAGCCAAACCATATCACTGGCTTTCGGTGGAGATTATGCATTGGAATCTCCTGGGGAGCTTCTAATAAATACCTTACACACTCAAAGCAGTCTGTAGATTCAACATAATCTCCATCAAAATCCCAGTGGCATTTTTTTCAGAATTAGAAAAATTCATTTTAAAATAAATATGGATTCAAAGGACCCTGAATAGACAACAAAATATTTAAAAAGAACAAAGCTAGAGGTGTCACAATCTTTAATTTTAAAACTTACTACAAGCTATGGTAATCAAAAAAATTAGTATGGTACTGGAATAAAGATAGACATAGACCAGTGAAATAGAATAGAGAGTCCATAAATAAATCCTGGTTTATATGATCAAATAATCTTTGCGAAAAGTGCTAAGATCATGCAAAGGGAAAAGAGCTTTTTCAACAACTGGTGTTGGGAAAACTAGATATCCACATGCAAAAGAATGACATTCTTATCGCTTATACAAAAATTAACTCAAACTGGATTAAAGACTTAAACATGAGACCAAAAACTATAAATCTCCTAGAAGAAAACATAGGGGCATAGGGGAAAAGCTTCATGACAATGAGTATGACAATGAATTTTTGGATATGTCATCAAAAACACAGGCAACAAAAGTAAAAATAGACAAATGGGACTGCATCAAACTTAAAAATTTCTGTGCATCAAAGAACGCCATCAATGGAGTGAAAAGGCAAACTACAGATTGGGAGAACATATTTTCAAATCTGATAAAGGGTTAATATGTAGAATACATAAAGAAATCTTGCAATTCAACAATAAAAAATAACACAACTAAAATATGGGCAAAGATCTTGAATAGACATTTATCCAAAGATAATATACAAATGGCCAATAAGCATGAAGAGATGCTCAACGTCACCAATCATTAGAGAGATACAAATGAAAACCACAATGAGACACCTCTCACACCCATTAGGATGGCTACTAGCACTAAAACAAAATAAGAAGTGTTGGCAAGGATATGGAGAAATTAGAACTCTTATACACTGTCGGTAGAAATATAAAATGGTGCAGCTTCTGTGGAAAACAGTATGATGACTGCTCCAAAAATTGAACATAGAATTACCGTATGATGTAGTAATCCCAGTTCTGGGAATACAGCCAAAATAATAGAAAGCGGGATCTTGAAAAGACATCTGCACGTCCATGTTTATAGCAGCATTATTCACAGTAGACAAGGGGTGGAACCATCCCAAATGTCCACTCACAGATGAATGAACAAAGACAGTATAACATATAACTATAATGGAATATTATTTAGCTTACTAAAGGAAAGAAATCCTGTTGCATGGTATACAACATGGATGAACCTTGAGAATATTATGTTGAGTGAAATAAGACAGCCATAAATAGACAAATACTGTATGAATCCACTTACATGAGGTATCTAAAGTAGTCAAATTCATGGAGACAGACAGTAGAATGGTGGCGGCTGGGGCGGGGGTTGGGGGGAATGGGGTCATTGTTTAATGGGTACAGAGTTTCAGTTTTGCAAGATGAAAATGTTCTGGAGGTACAACCATGTGAATATGCATAACATTACTGAACTGTAAACTTAAAAATTGTTCAGATGGTAAAAAAAAAAAAAAAGAAACACCCCAAAATAAAAATAAACAAAAATGCCTCGACCCCAACCTCAGACCATTTGCCACCCAGTGTTGGTATTTCCATGAAGCCCCCAGATGACTAAGATGTGCTGCAGGGCTGAGAAGCTCCGCAGTAAAGAGATGGTGGGTGGGTAAGGACTGGTCTTGCCTGTGGGGAGTTCATTCGTTCTCTAGAGGGAATGTGCAGTGTATATCTAGATCATCATATAATCAGTCCATTGTGATATGGTATGGGCCTTAGACTTACCAAGTGTCATGAAAAATCAGAAGGTAAAGACCTTCCTTGCAGTATGGGGTGAGTTTCCAGGCATTTGTGCCAGGCTATGAAGAAGCAATGGGGGTTGACAGGAGGGTGAAGAGGGGAGAGGGTCTCCAGCTGTCACAAAAGCACGACGGTGGGTAAAAAAAGCCTGGCATCATTAGGAAACAGAGGGGTATCTAATTTCACTTGAGTATGTACGATGTGTGTGAGGGGGTTATAATGGGAATTACAATTTCAAAGACAAGCTGATGCCAGAGTGTGGAGGGTCTTGAATGTCATGCTAAGAAGATTATATATTATTCAGTAGACAATAGGGAGTCATTGCTTTTTTAGTAGGGGAATGAGAAAAGCTAAAACATCTGGGTGATTGAAAATCCAGAGTGATAAGAGCTATGTTTGAAGAAGATATATTTTACTCCTTTCTTAAATGACATATTCCAGCCAATACTTTAGAATTGCCTGTTGGCATTTCACGCAGGTTTTCAACACATGCTATTTCATCTTCCTCTGCCTGGTCCAGTGCCTCTGTTTCCTCCAACTTGAAGCTCCCTAGACCCCAATTCATCCAGTTGAGCAAGTAGAATTCACTCCACCTGGGTTCCCATCCAATGGGCCTAGTCACTTTGCAAAGCTAAAACAATCTGCTGCAAGCAACTCCCTTAAGGGAGAGGCAATTTGTATTAGAAAGATTAGTGCTGACTTTCATCCACAGCAAAACCATTTTGCTACAACACAGCCCTTTTTGTAAGCAGGAGCCCGATCCTGCCACAGAGCCGAGCGTGAATGCTGCTGATCTCCTTGGACAAGACTGCTGGGGCCTTTGGGAACAGCATGTGGCCACATGTCAGTTTGCTTCTTTGACAAGTCTCTACTGTCTTTACCCCAGAAAGCCTGGACAATTGTATTTTGTAGAATATTTTCAAATCTGCTTCCAGACCTTGACATTTTGAAACAACTAACCTGCTTTGTTTGAGAAATGCATTTAAATAAATTAATGAAACCACTGCTCTGAATGAATCCTTTCAGCCTGCTTACAGAGAAATTTTGAAAGGGCAATATTATCACTGACAAAAACTGCAGCATCTGAGCAATTTGATATCCAGAAAGCTGAGTAGGGAGGCAGAACATAATGACAGTTTTACCTATAGCAAAACCATTAAAGGTCGCTTACCAGAAGGACAGCTGAAATACAATTTGTTTTCAAATTATAAGATTAAAGAACATTCCTTGAAGAAAGTATTATTATACAGTGTCAAAAGAAAGAGAGATTAAAATGGTTGGAAGATGCAATCACAGCTGAGATAAATTCTACTTTCTCTGTGGTTTGCACACCCTGCAGTCTCTCCGGCTCAATGGATTGGGTGGGTTGGAGAAATTAGCAAATGCTCCTCTCTCTATACAAATCTTTCCCCCACTGAGAGTTCTTTTCCCCTCTGGTCTTACTGAAAACATGCTTGCCTACCAGGCAACCCATGTGGAGGAGTGAAGGGTGTCTTTGTTAATGGTGCCCATTGGAGAGGACAACATTAAAAATTCTCTAAAATGAAGAGGGCAATTTTGAGTTTCCAAGTCATTAGGCAGGTTTATGATTTGTCCATTTGCAAAGGAGCTGATGGGACTCTCCACACAGCCATTTCACTTAAAATGGGCTCATCTTGCACATGGCTTTGTTCAGTCTTCCTCTCATGCCCAGAACTCTTCTGGTGCAGGCTGAGGCTGCCTTTGGGAGACATTGGAAAGTCTGTCCTGTCTCCCCTGCAGCACCATTTTACTTAAAATGCTATATAGCACCTCAACAAGACTATACATGACTCTTTGCAATGAGCAAGTTAAATCAAATAAAACCCCGCTCTATTAATACTGTCAATTCTACAACATGTATCATGCATAAGTTCTTCACAAATATTAGCTAACAGTGAACCTGCACTACCTTCTTGAATGGTAACTCAAAGGTGTTTTCTGCATTTTTAAAATATTTATTTGAATACACTCCTTGAAAACATGACTTTTTCTTTATGCAAGACTTTCGGTAACAGACATAATTTGTTCAAACCTAGACAAAACAGAGTGGCAAGAAATAGGAAGATTATGCAACTTGACTATTTGGAATGTAATAAATAATAATGTGCTGTTCTGAACACACAAAAATAGAGAGCTTCTAAATACATTGTCAGACTGATCACCCAGTTCTTCCTTATTCAAAATGCCTGCTGCAAACATAAATGCCTGCTCAATGGCCACTGAACATCCTTTATGCCTCTTGTCTTCCTGGACCAGACAAGTTTTCTTGCTTCCTTGTGCCCTTCTCAAATGTTAGTTCTTTATGAAACTTGCCCACACCATCTCCTTTCTCAATGTGTGTTGGGGGTAGGAGGATTATGAAGAATTGCTGGAGAGCTGGGGCCAAAGTCAAGCTGTCTGGAGGCCAGAAGCTGGTTGGCACTGTCCTGTCCCAAGAATGCCTGGTCATCTTGCTTTTCCTTCCACTATCCTAGATAAAAAGACCACAGCATTATTGACAACCCAGCAGAGCTCCTTAGATGTCCCTGCTGCTGGAACCCACACTCCAAACTTGGTTTTACACCCCAGCCAGTAGAGCAAGAGCTATTGCTGTTGTACTCTCTCTGGGAATCAGGAGGGTCTCCTTACAGAAGTCATCAATTGCCCCCTACCACACCCAAACAAAAACAACTTAATTTGAACTAACCTTCAATTACTCAGTTAAAAGCCAGACTTTTGATGTCATCCTTGTTTCTATTCTGTTCCTTTTAACTCCCATGTTTAATTCCAATCTCACCAAAAGTGGGTCCTGAAGTTTTAGCACCTTGTTTAGGAAACATGTCCTGTTTCTCAGAGATCCCAGTGAAAAGACAGATATTTTCTATCTACGTTACTACTTTGCCTACATCAGAGGCCAGAGATCAGGCTTGATATTTTAGTAAATCTTTTTATTTGTCTGAATTTAGGATCAATTAAGAAAATAGACCAAAAAATCAGAAATAATGATTAGATTAATGTCAATTTTATTAATCACTAACCTGAATTTGAAAATGTGGATTAAATAGGCAGCTACAAATTACACCTTCCTCTGTTTTTTTCCAAGTCTAGACTTAGAGTCTACCCATATTTTGAGAGGCTAGACATACTAAAAAGATGTTTTTAGCTGGATTTTCTGCCTCATATAACTCTATGAGGGAGTTCCTAATGGTACATCATCTTTTATAGATGAATAAATTCACAAGATAAGTAACTTATCCAACAGTCATAACTGCTGCCTTCAGCAAACTTATATCTCAGTGGAAATAGGAGATAAGCTGTTAATTATAAAATTATATTGGAATACACTAGATTAAAATTTAGAAAATAGAATGAAAGAGACCTAATTAGATCATGTAGTCATGGGTGACTTTGAAGCTAGGTCTGAGAGGTGAGCAGGCACCAACCATGAGAAAAGCATAAATCAAAGTAGGAAAACAACTAGCAAACTATCTAGTTGATATAGTTTAGATATTTATCCTCACCCAAATCTCATTTTGTATGTAATCCCCAGTGCTGGAGGTGGGGCCTGGTGGGAGGTGTTTGGATCATGAGGGTGGATCTCTCATGGCTTGGTACTGTCTTCATGATAGTGAGTTCTCACAAGATTTGGTCATTTAAAAAAGTGTGTGGCACCTCCCTTTATTCTCTGTCTTGCTTCTGCTTTTGCCATGCATTGTGCCTGCTCCCCCTTAGCCTCCCACATGATTGTAAGCTTCCTGAGGCCTCCCTAGAAGCTGAGCAGATGCCAGAAGGATGCTTTTTGTAAAACATGCAAAACTGTGAGCCAATTAAACCTCTTTTCTTTATAAATTACCCTGTCCCAATTATTTCTTTATAGCAATGCAAGAACATAACACACTAATGCATAGCAGTTATTTAATAAATGCTCGTATCCCTTCCCTTGTCAACCCCTTCTTATAGAAACTTGACATGTATATCAGCCAAAAGTTTTAAAATCATGGTGAAGGAAACTGTATCTCTAAGACTGAAAAAATAAGTGATGAAAATCAGAGGAGGCCTTACCTTGAACTAGAGAACATGCCTTATTAGAAAAGACCAAATGTGATTGCAGTTTCAGGAAACTAGGGAATACCTTGGCTGTTACCCAAATGGGAAAGACCACCACCCAGCCCCTCCCAACAAAAGCCTGATCTGGCACTATGACAGGAAAGCATCTGGGATATGATGGTGTCCACCATCCATAAGACTCAAGATGAATAAACCAAAGGACTTGGCTAATGACATTCCTTAGAAAAATGTAGATATTTGTTCTACAACCAGTTTAAGGATCTTGACTCCTTACGATAATTTTGAGGGATGGATGAATAGATGGATGGATGGTTGGATGGATGGCCTGTCTCTATGACATCTCTAAGTGATTCCAATCATCACCTTACTATTGAGGACCAGCCAATTCATTCTGACAGACGCTAGGTTTAGAGTTTATAATACATTTTCCAGCACTCAGACAGGGGACCCATTAGGCTAGTAATGGAAGCTGCACTTTCCGGCCAGCTATTTGTGGCAAAATGACTGTTCAATATATTTTGCAGCTCCTTGATAATCCATCCAGTGAATCTTCTATATTCTGTGGAGGACCTGGGAAATACTCCAGGAAACAAGGATAAAGCTAAGATAGTGTTACAAGTTACAAAAAGGGCAGATCCCTTTTATATGTTTTATGTGTTGGGACTATGCCTAAGAATTCATTTAAATGAAATGGCTTATTGCTAAATCATGGGCCCAAAGTAAGTTAATTTGGAGATTCTCCTTTTTAATGTAGCTCTGTCGAAAGTGACAATAACCTCCATAATTAAGGGAACTTTGAGAAGCTTGATTGTTTTAAGAATGTCCTCAATAAATACCTGAGAAATACGAACATGATATTTTGGTAAGTAAATACAAAATGTTAGAATAAGATAAAAATAAGCCAGTGACTTTATGTATTTCCCCTGTCATCTTATTTATGCATTGAGGCCAAATCACTTTGAATTATATGAAGATTCATTTTCTCTTTCATAAAATAAAGAGATTTGTGAGAGAAAGGCCTAAGAGTTTTAGAGGACAGCCAGCTCAATGTGAGCTCTTTGTTTAATATATAGAATGGAAAATTGGATAAATCCTAGGATGAATCAGTAGAAGTATGTATTTCAAGTTAAAGGAGGTGAGGTCACTATAACAGTAATCACATTTTGAGAAGAACATTCACAACCTAGAATATTCCCAATAAAAAGCTTTAAAATATCAAGGAATATAAAAACTGTGACATATAAGAAAATGTTTATGAGCCTAGAGATTTTAGGAATGTAAAAGAGATTTAGAGGCTGGGCGTGGTGGCTCACGCCTGTAATCCCAGCACTTTGGGAGACCAAGGCAGGTGGATCACCTGAGGTTGGGTGTTCAAGACCAGCCTGACCAACATGGAGAAACCCTGTCTTTACTAAAAATAGAAAATTAGCCGGATACGGTGGCACATGCCTGTAATCCCAGCTATTTGGGAGGCCGAGACAGAAGAATCACTTGAACCCAGGAGGTGGAGTTTGCAATGAGCCGAGAGCATGCCATTGCACTCCAGCCTGGGCGACAAGAGTGAAACTCCATCTAAACAAACAAACAAACAAACAAAAACAAAAAAAAGAAGAAGAAATAAAAAAAGAGAAGATTTAGAGAAAAATGTGATTATTTAGACTCTGTCTGAAGTGAGTAGACTAAGGAATAGGGATGAAAATGAGAAGGAATAAAACTTCAGGTGTAAAGGACCTTCCCATGAATGGAACTGTGTGAGCTTCGTTTTTGGGCAAAAGGCAGCCACAGGAAATCTTAAGCATGGTGTAGAGAATCATGGCAATGGGTAAGAGGTTGAACTACCAACTGGACCTCAACATGCCAGTGCAAGTTCACTGCTGGGCTTGTTCATAAGAATCATCCAAATGAGGTTGTTTAAAAAATAGGAATTCAGGGTGGGCCCAAGCAATCAAGGCCAAAGCGATGTGTGCCTTTATGCTGGTGGAGAGGGTGCCATGATCTGACATGGAATAGCAGGGACCAGGTGGAGTGAGGAGGTTTTGGTACAAGAGGAGATGAGGGTGGAGGTGGAGGCAGCCCGATGTTGGAGTCCGAGTGGGATGAGAAGGAAACCTGAGCAGGCAAATGTGTTACAGCAGCCCAGTGTGGGGTGTCAGAGCCCAAGCAGGGTGAAGAGCAATGCTGGGGGCAGTGATGGCAGTCTGGCATGTGTGTTAGAGCCCGAACAGGGTGAGGAAAGCATCGTGCAGCCTGGCAGTGGGTATTAGAGCCTGGCATGGTGAGAAGTGTGTTCCTAAAGGGCAGAGCAGAGGCAGTGCAGAAGGATGATGAGAGGGGTGTCTTTGCAGGGGAGCAGCAACTGTGGCAGCCCAGTGTGAGGTGTGGAAGCCTAAGTGAGGTGGGAGGAGCTTCCGCAGTGGGGGCTGGGGATGGGAGCATAACATGCAGGAGTCTGTGATGGGATCTGGGAATATGAAGAAAAAGAAGGTTAGGGCTCAGGCTTAGAAAAGTTGATAGTCTTGAGAAGGAGATGGCACATGAAAGGGATGTCAGGGTAAACAAGGTGCTATAATACAGTATGTCAAGGTGCAGTGAGAAAAAAATAGTGACCCAAATTCTTATCCAAGCACAGGTGACAGAGTATTCAACAAAAAGCCCAAGTATTACAAAATAAAAAAGGCCAGTGACCAGCAACAGTGTATTGATTACATACTGAGGGGATTTTCCTAATAAGTAAGTACATGTGGGATTATGGGAGTCATGCTTCTCACTGTTAGGAAAGAAAATTAGAAACACAAAAAGGAAATGAACAAATAAACAAACAAACTAGAATTGACTCAGGATTCTTGAATTGTAATTGGAGCTTGACATGTGAACCCATAGTTGTCAATCTATAGATATATTGATACATGTAATTTCTAGGTATAGAAATTAATATACATACCTGTATATATGATACAGACACATACACACATACATTTCTTACCACTGAGAAGAAGTGGTAGCAGTGATACCTCAATAACAATGAACACACCTAAACTGATATCTTGGTATCTAAACATCATTCTTCACCAAAAGGAACCATGGCTCCTTGGAGAAATAGCTGATTCTAGGGCTGAGATAGGGAAAGTACTAGATGAGCTAAAACATATTTTTGTGCCAGAAAATAAAGAGGTGCTCAGTGAATGATGAAACATGTCAAAAGGACACAGGACCCAGCTTGAAAGAGCTCCTTTTGGTCAAATCTAGGACAATTTGAGCAACAAAATATGTAAGGATAGCAAAAGATTATAACCCAATGAATAAAATATATTCTTGAATCTGTCCTGATATAGATATACGAATGGAGAGAAGAGAAAATGTTTCCTTACAGTGAAGTGGCAACTGATAAATGTTGAAGGAATTATGGAGTTTGAAAGTCACCATATAGCAACAATCATTGCATTAATTAATTCAGCTAGGAAACATCAATGGATGCTAAAACTAGTGAGTAAAAATGTGTTGAGGCATATGGTAGCCTCAGGATACATTTCCTCAAAATATTCATTGATTATAAAGTAAAGATGAGTAACTTTATAGTGGAAAAACCTGGCAATCATCCCCATGGTCAGAGATCATGTTTAATAACACCAGTCAAAAGACACATGGAAATCATGTGTTCTTTGATAAGATGCAATAAGACATACGCACATAAGAAGAAGAACACTTTATTTCTTATGTGATATTTCTGGGGAAAAGAGCATGACCTGAATTTAATATTGAAGAAGCTTTAGACAAACCTGCACTGAAGGACTTTCTGCAAAATAACTGGCCTGTGATCCTCAAAAGTGGTCAAAGTCATAAAAATTAAAGAAAAGCTGAAGAACAGTTCCAGATTGAAGGAGAGAGACTAAAGACGCATGACAAATAAATGTAACTCATATTCCTGGATTAGATGCTTTTGTTATAAAGGACATTGTACTGACAACTGGCGAAGCTCAAATGGTGTCATATGATGAAATAATTAGTAAACAAATCAATGTTAGCTGCCTTATTATTATAGTTGCACTTTTGTTGTAAAGAAGGTCTTTATCTGTAGAAAATGTACACTGAAGTATTACAGGAGTGATGGGGCTTTATGTTGTCAATTTAATCTCAAATTATCTCGAGTAGAAAACATGAGGATGGGGGAGTGGGGAACGATGCTTTTAATAGTCTTGGAACTATTTTGTATATTTGAAATCATTTCAAAATTTAAAAAAGATATTCCTAGACCTCGTTATAGACCTATGGAAGAACATTAATTAATGAAAGTGAGGCACAAGGATCTGTATGCTAAAGAGTCCATGTCATTCCTTGCTAGGTTTGGAAACCTCTGGGCAAAATCACTGCTTTGCAGACTTTAGTGTGCATACGTTACATGGAAATCTTGTTAGAATTCAGATTCTAATTCAGTTGTTTTGTAGCCGGATTTAATTTTCCGCATTTCTAACAAGCTCCAAGGCAGTGCCAAGGCTGTTGATCTGCAGACTAAACTTTGAGTAAAAAACTAGATGATCTTTGAGAACATACTCCACTTGACAAATGATGAGAACAGTATTCTGCTTCCAGTGTTTGTAGAATTCGTGGCACTAGAATTCATAAATTTAAATGTTCCTTCATGACCAGCCTGTAAAATAAACTGGCAGTGGACTTCATATTTGTGGATAATCTTGCACCTTATAACAAAAGGAGAAGTTTGCGCCTGGAAACATTCTGTCAGGCTTTGGACACAATAATAATTTTTTTTTTTGCCAATATGACCAAAATCTAAGCAATGACACATTATTAAAAGTCTACAGAGGCATTAAAAAAAATGAAAAGTTCTTTGGGGTGATATATCACACTCTCTTAGATCATCATTTTCTTAGAGTTGAAACAGAACTAAAATCAAAAAGATTTTTTTCCCCTCAAAGCACAGGTGGAAAAAGCCTAAGAAGTCAATGTCAAAGGTAATCATCTCAGCTACTTGGTCAATATCTAGCTCTTCCTTACACCTCTGTCAAATCCCAACAGAGTGATTCCTTTATCATCTTTGTATGGAGAAATAATCGTTATTACTGAGTGCCAAACCTGTGCCTGGCAATGGATTAGGTCCATTAAGTTGGTTTAATCCTTTATGTCTATTTTTTTTCCATTAAAATTAGTTCATTTTTGTCATTAGCTTCCTGAGTATCATTCTATGTTCATAACTGCTTTTTTTCGTCATATAGATATACTCATAAAATCATATATGGTAATGTTTATGTGCATTTTACAGAGTTACTTCAATGCTGTCATAATGTACCTTTCCTTTTGCAACACTTGTAGTTAGGTTTTAAGATCTACGTAGACAGACAGATAGATTGAAGAAGTATTTTCTTCTGTAAACACAATACATTTGGTTTATGGGCCATTAGTTTGTCTTCAGTGTTTTCTGTTGAAGCAGTGCTATGATAAGCATCTTTTTATATGCTTCTTACTTCATTTGTGCAAGAGCTTCTCGGGGCATGTAAATAGAAACCAAATTGTAGGATCATAGGGTGTGTGCATTGCCAAATTTGCTAGATGATGTCAAATGCCCCTTCATAGTGGTTCTACCTATTTATATTCCCTCTGGAAGTATAAGAGGGTCCCTGGATCCCCATATCTTTGCAAAGGCTCGTTAATCTCATAGGGTTAATGATGTAATGTTCTTGGAACTGTGTCTGACACTTAATCAATGCATATCCCTATGACTCTTCTACAGCAACTGCAGTAACAGCTCCTATTACTATTATTATAAAATCACTACTATTTACTTATTAGAGTATGCCCCAGCCTAGAATGAGTGCTCAGTAAATATCTTTTGAATGAATGGATGCGCAATCCCTAGAGCCATTGTATAAAGTAACATTATGAGGAAAATGAGGCTCTGAGAGGAAACTCACTTGCCCAAGGTTGCCAGTGATGGAACTGGGCCTGGGACTCAGCCCTATTTGTCTCTAGTGTGAATTCAATTTCCATTTTATTCCACTCCCCACATCACTTCAAGTAAGAGTGATTTTTTTTATACCATTCTATCCTCTATAAAAATTCTGGAAGATTAAAATCTGTAATAAACAACAAAAGAAGAATTATTTAAAGATGTTGGTGAAGAGGATGGTTACTAGCCACGTCAAGTGGCCTTGTTTAAAGGGTAGCTTGTGTGTATTACCCTGCTTCCCTCTCCCCTTAGCCCAGGAAGCCCTGTCTCCCAGGAGGGGGCTTCATAGCCTCAGAATGGGCAAGCAGAAGTCTGCAGCTGAAACCAAAGTCCCATGTCCCCCAGGCTGCCCAGGGGCACATTTCTTTCCTACCTCCTCTGTAAGCTGTGCCTGCTGCAGCAGCCTCCCTGGGGCAAGCACTGCCTCATCTGACAGGCCATAATTTGGGTCATTACACTCTCCCATGGGCAGTAATGACATTTTTTCTTTTCTAGACACGACCTCTGCACAGCTGCCTCATGGGAGGGAGAGTTGATTACTCCTCCACCGTGGCTCCTGTCTTGCAGAAGCCGGCTTCTGAGAGGCACTGCCTTAGTCTGTGGAGCTGCCTGTTTTGTGGCTCTTATCTTCTCAGAGAGGCTCTGCACCGAGGAAGGGAAATCTCTTTAAAGGGTCACACCCTGAAGGCTGTGACTTGGGAATAGTGTGGGAATGTAAGGGCCACAGGGGAATCATTCCTGCTCAAAACAGCTCTGCATTTTACCCAGAGAGATGCTTTGCATTAAATTCTGGGGAGGCTTAAGCTCAGAAAAGCACCCACCTTAGAATTATGAGAATCATCTTGCTTAGGTGAGTTTCCTTCAAGAAAACCATTTAGATGAACACTAAAGAGTGAGGAAAGCAAGTCCTCTGGGGAAGAGGCAGCCGGGGCAGAGCTGCAGGGGAGTCAGAAGACAGAGCTGGTCCTGCTGCTCCTAGAGGTGCCAGGGGGTCACAGGAGGGGAGACAGGCTGGTGATGGATGGCGATAGTGCTGGCTTCCCCTTAGAATGCTGTCTGAGTGCCAGCTTTACCCAAAGAGGTATTTAGAGAGATGGTGGGATACGATGGATTAAACACACTGACCCTGGGGTCAGATAAAATGGGACCCAGTCACGTTCTGACAATTACTTCCTTAGGAACGTCAGCAACTTGTCAAACCACTCTAAGCTGTTTCCTTATTCGTCAAATGAGGAAATTGCTCTCAGAGTCTTAGGGTCCTGTGCATCCCAGTGTTTTATGACTCTAAGAAGGAGCCATATTTCTATAAAACTGCCAGACTGGGCGCCGGGCTGCCCGCCGCAGACACTGTCTGTCTTCTGGGCCCGGACCCCAAGCTGCAGTTGATTCTGGGTCCTGACTGCATTCACTCCAACTCGTTACCTGTGGCACTGGCTGTGGGGGTGTCTTTGTCAGTGTGGGGTGCTACAAAAGAGTACCATAGACATGGTGGCTTATAAACAACAGAAATTTATTTCTTGCAGATCTGGAGGCTGGAAGTCTAAGGTCAGAGTGCCAGCATGGTTGCATTCTATGGAGGGCTTCCTTCCGGTTGTATTCTCATGTGGCAGAAAGAGGGCAAATTCATTTTTTGAAGGTCATTAATGCAATTCATGAGGGTTCTACCCCCATGGCCTAATCACCACGGCCCAAAGGCCTCACCTCCTCATACCGTCACCTGGGGGGTAAAGATTTAACATGAATTTTGAAGGGGCACAAATATTCAGTCCATTGTAGGGAGTGACACCTCTGTACTCTGTAAGTACCAGGGATTTGGTTATTTGCAAAACTCTGATTGAGGTCTCCTCTATTTTCTTATTCCTTCTTAGAAATCTAGTTTTCAAACTGCCAGCAATTGAGCTTTTATCAGTAATTTAATTAATAAGTTATTTATTTGAATTACTTTAATGTTCAA
This sequence comes from Homo sapiens, assembly GCF_000001405.40. Lineage (NCBI taxonomy): Eukaryota > Metazoa > Chordata > Mammalia > Primates > Hominidae > Homo > Homo sapiens. The sequence goes on from NC_000002.12 coordinate 21,394,331, forward strand.
AAGTGATTGGCTAATTCTTTTTCCTAACCTAATTTCCCTGAAAGTGGGAAGGTGGGAGTAAGGGTATCTTGGGTTCCTGGTTGAACCCAGTTTCTCTTTCTGAGCGTTCTTAATAAGGAGGTATAGGACTCTGAAATGACCCCAGGGGATCATCTCTTCCTTTTCATAAACATCTAGCACTTAACATGAGCACAGTCAGCAGAAGCCAGGACATCATATTCTCTTGAAACGTGATCTCTGAATTTTCTCTGTCTTATTAGCTTAAGTTGCAGTACATGTTAGAGAGGGGAGACAACATAATAGTCATTTTAAATACCTGTTAAATTGATAAATAAACACATTGAAAGTCTAAGAAATCACTGGTGACTTCACAGGGGTACGTTCAGGGTTCTATGTAGAGAAGTTGTAGTTGTGAGCACTGTTTCAGCATTGAGATGGGAGTGGAATCCTAACCCCTAGGGTTTGTAAGCAGAAATATGTGGGACTGAGTGTCAGCACAATGCTGCCTGGGTGAGAAATAGAGGAGAATCTTATACTTTTAATAGTTGGAGACTAAAGGAGCTTGTATTATTTATGGAGCTGCTTCTCTGCCCTTTGCTTCTCCACCGAGGCAAGCCAGTGTTCGGGAATCTCTTGTTGGCTGGCACCTAAGCATCCATCTCTTGAAGACTCCAGCCCAATTTAGAACCCCCACTGGCAATGTTACTGACATATGGTTTATGAACATTTCAAGGGTTGAGAAACTACTTTCTTCCAAGAGCAGACTATGCCATTCAGCACTGCTAAGTAGCTCTACAGGTACTAGGAGGCCACAGGTTAGGAAAAGCCGAGTGCTGCCTTGCTATAATTCCTTTGCATGCTCTTTGGAGACATCTACAGGTCTCCGTGGCTACCCCTCAGACAAACTGAAACACGCTTGACCTACCCCAACCCTAGGGCTTCCCTTTTCAAAGTTGATTATCTAGATCAGGGCTTCAAATCTTCCCCAATCCTGGGAACCCTCCCCTGAGCAAGCTCCAGTTGTGTACTGAGCTTTCCCACAAACATGTCATACTTCTGTCCCTAATATACAATAATCAAGACGTGACTATGTGCCCCGGAGAATCCTAAAGGGGCTCTTCCATCCTGGGGAGTCATGAAGAGAGGAGAAAGTCTGGACTCTGCTGCGGATGGTTGGCTGGAGCTGGACTAGAGCATGAGGTCTAATGCCCCAGGAAGAGGCAGCTCTGGGACCTCTAGTGGTCACTGTCTGTCTCTAACACACACATGCACACGTAAGCACATGCAAACACAAACACTTACACACCAGTTGGGGTAGAGTCAGTGGGAAACACTGAACTGAATTTGTTCTCCTTTTTCATCCTCTCTCTGGTGAAGCATCACCAGCAACTGCCCATCTGCCCCATCTAGGGCCTTTTGGCTGGAGAGAGGCAGCATTTGAGTTCTGTGTGAAGCTCTAGTGTGTCCTCTCTGCTCTTGGGTTTCTACTTTCTCAGTTACAGAAGTTACAAGTTTGTTCCCCACTAGCAGTTAGGATTAACTCCTGCAGGACAAGTATTTTACCGTCTCCAGCTTTTATTTTGTTCTCAGCTCTATCACAATTCACAGTGTGATTTGGGACAAATTGTTTGCCCCTGTAAAGTGAGGAGGTTGGATAAGGCAACCACTAAATTCCTTCCTGTTTTTATAGGAACGTTTCACCCTGCAGGACAACGAGCCAGAGCCTTGCATACCAGGGGCAGGCATTAGACCACACCCGCTTTGACTGTTAGACTCATCTGCAGTGCTTGTGCCACTAGTGAGATGCGCCTAATGGGGGAGTTCATCCCCCACCTCACCCTGGTGTAAGTAGTTTACTGGATGGGAATTTGGGCTCCTAGAAGTCTTCATCTTACTATTTATGTACCACCTCTGAATTGAACAGGTGTTATAAAAGGGTAAACTGATGCTAAAAGCTACCTCAAGAAGATGCCTGGAGCAGGGTTCAAGATCAATCTAGCTTTTAGTCTCAGCCATAAACCATCTGAGCTTTGGGTAAGTCACTTGACCACCAGGCCGGTTTCCTCATTATGACAGAATGGAATTCTGAATTCCCTTTCTGTTGTAATAGTCTGATTGCACAATTTTCCATTAGAGAAGTTTCATACCTGTTAGATCTCCTGCTGCCAGGAACTAACCTCCTGGGAGACAGGTCTTATCGTCATCCAGGCATATAGGAGGGTGTTGGGAAAACACTTGTAGTGGATGCTGGATTGTGCCATTCAGAGCCAGCTCCCTTTGCTATTGAAGAACTTATTTCCCTACATGTCAGGACTTCTGCTGGCTGATGGCCCCCAGCTGTGAGCTCTTTCAGGCATCACCTTTGGCTGCAAAAGGCTCCCTCTCCTGAAGTTACTACCTGCATCCCTGGAGGCAGACTTCATCTCATGTCTTCATCCAAAGTTTGAACAAATTGGCTAAGAAGGTGCTAGACATGTAAAGGGACTATTTTTTTTCTTAATTCAAATGTAGGAGGAGTATGGATCTCCAGGAACCAGAAGAGCTGCATACATATGTGAGTGGATTCTGAAAGTGCTGAAGTGAGGGGGATGCAACATTAAGTTGGATGAGGGAGGATTTGTTAATATGAATGCACTCGTCTGTGATACAGAATTTAACAACCTGGCAAGACCCCCAGGAGAGGGTTCTAACATGTTGTTAGGATGGCTCTGAAAAGCATGAAGAAACTGATGGCTCAAATCATGTAAGGCAGAAATACCAGAATTGCTATGGCAGAGGGTGGATCAAAAGTCTCAGAAAAATGAGCATGTAAGAATACTATGTACTATTTAATGTGGAAAGTCCACCATGTGGTTATATTTAGTGAGAGGACACAGAAGATGCTCTGTTTCTCAAAGCAATATGAGATACATCAAAAAAAAAATAAAAAGGGCACCAGCATCTCCCAGAACCTATTGGTGGCTGTCCCTAATAAAGAACTAGTTTCACTAACAGTAATAGTATCATAAGATCCCCCGAATAATAAAAGTAGGGTGGTAGTGCTTAACAATCAGAAGGAAAAGAGGTGAAACTATGGTAATGAGGTAAGGTCAGAGTGGTAAATGAATGCTGTGTCCCAAATAGGTAGAATACATGAGTCTGGGAAACAAGAGGTAAAAGAAGAAATGGCCCATTTCATCATCATTCCCAGAAAACTACTTGTTGGAATTGGAATTAGGGCTTTCTGCTCCCACAACTCTGGGCTCTGTGGATTTAGAAAATTAGGTCTTGATTTCCAAAGGAGATGTGCTTGTACCAGTGGACTTGACAAGAGTTCCATTGAACATTGAGTTTCAGCTGCTACCAGGCATTGTGGGCTCTTTGTACAAAGGGAGTAGGCAAGGAAAGGAGTTGCCATCAAGTCAGGGGCAAGTGACCTTGATAATCAGGAGAAGGTAAGGCTACTGTTTTATAATGAGGATAGGGAAAATACTTTTTCCACCCCTTTGCCTAACTTTAATGGTAAATGGACAAAGATGGCAGCCATGGCCTGAGAAAGGCATGATGTCCAGAGGCTCAGACTCCTCAGAGAGGAGGGCCTGGATCATGCCACTTAGGTAGCAGAAGTGCTGATGGAGGGTAAGGCAATTGAGAATGGGTAATAGGGATGGAGATGATTAGTATCAGTTGAGGCCTTGAGACCAGCTGTAGCAGCAGAAGCTGTAATTTGACCGACTATTGTTTCTATTATAAGTTTACCCAGGAAAAGAAGGCCCCCATGAATCCTGGAGGAGCTGATATTGGAACTTTTATAAAAGGACTCTAGGTGGCACAAGAGTAGATTATAGTAGACCTAAGATTGTGCTGCCCTGATCTTCCCCTTAAGGCAAGCTTATGGCTTACACCTTACAGCTCACAGCTATCTGCCCTTTCCAGGAATTGCCCTTGGCTGTGAAGAGCCCCCTTCCCACAATCAGTCTTCCTCAAAGGCCAGTCATTGCAGAGACATAAAGCCCAACTGCAGACAATTCTGGAAGAGCATTCCAGCTCCAGATTTCCCTGTGGGGTCAGCTGAGACTGTTGTGATTGCACTGAAGATCAACAGTGCAAGATGTTCCTCTCCCCAGAGCTGTTTGCCTTTCTTTCCCTCTAGATATTAATCCTGAGAGCACTGCCCAAGACACTTCCTGTAGGCTACTCTGTATCTCAGAGCCCACTCTCTGTCGACCCTGACTTACAGGAGTACTTTTAAAATATTGAGCTTGATACAAGAATTATTATCATCATAAGAAGGATTATTTATATATTAGGTGCTCAATAAATATATGTTGAAGCAGTGATGAATGTCATTGCAGGACATTTTAATATGCTCATTGCTATAATCTCCTTAATGGAGTATTCATTTAACATGTCAAGCTCTGATATTAAACAGAATCGTATAAATCCTGTCAGAAAGAAAAAAAGCCTTCCTTTGAAAAGCTCAGCATGAGGTATTGTATCTTTTAATGGATCTCCTTTGGACTGTTCTATATTCACTTGCCCAGCAATCCTTGACTATGGGCCTATCCTGCACCTTTTTCTGGAGTAACCAGGGGAAAAGTTATGTAAATTGTGTACGTTTTAAAAGTTTGATCAAACCAACTCTGACTAGATTAGAGGTCAGCAAACTTTTTATTTAAAGATGCAGACAGTAAATATTTTGTGCTTCAGGGGCCACATGGTCTCTGTTGTAATTATTCAACTCTGCCATGATAGGGTGAAAGTTACCGTACATAATATGTAAATAAAAGAGAGTTACTGTATTCTAATAAAATGTAACTTACAATAATAGGTGTTAGGTTACATTTGGCCTGCAGGTGATATTTTGCCATTCACTAACCTATATAATATACAGAACATAAGAAATGAGATGGCTACTTGTCCTCCTTGGCCTGGAATTAGCTACCCTCTGTGTCATGTCCCTGGTATCACAAATTGGCTAGTCTTCTCAATCAACAAATATGTATTCAACCTACAGTTCCTAGGTATATAAAGGTAAACAAACATGATCCATGGCTGTTAGGGGCTAATACAGAAGCAGAGGTGAGTCATGGTGGTACAGTTCCTTAAATATTCCAAAGGATCCATGAAGAACAGAGTTCAATGAAGACCCAGAAGAAGGGGTGACAGATTCTTCTTGCAGATTCTTTGAAAGTCATGAAATAGCATGGTGTGTCCATGGGCCCTGCACACTTGCAGGTTTGGTGACAAGGTGGGGGGTCTGTGATAAGAGACCCAGCTGGAGGGGTAACAAAAGATCAGAGCCATGGGCTTTATCCTCGATGCAATGGGAACAATTGAAGGGTTTTAATCAGAGAACTAGCATGGTGAGATTTGTGTTTTATAAAGGTTCCTCTGAAAGCAGATTGCTGGATGATTGGACGGGATCGGCAAAGTGACCATAGTAAAACCATAGCACTTATCATTTTCTGATGTTACAGGCAACCGACTTTTAAATTAAGTTTATTGTTTATTTCTATTTGTCCTTGCTGGAGGGCAAACACCAGGAAGGCATAGACTCATTTTGAGTTCCCCACTGCTGTTTTTCAAGGGCCTGTAACAGTACTGGGCAATAGTAGGCACTTAATATGTACTTGTTGAGTGAATATAATTAGTAAATTAAAGGTTTCTTTTTTTTTTTCCTCTAATATATATTTTTAGAGACAGGGTCTCACTATGTTGCCCAGGCTGGCCTCGAACTCCTGGGCTCAAGCAATTCTCCACTTTAGCCTCTCAAGTAGTTGAGACTACAGGAGTATGCTTCTGTGCCCAGCAGTTTCTCTTCTTGTGGTAAGAAAGATGGTAATGTAATTCCAGTTTCAGTTTTATCAAAAGGCTGGAAGCAGAAAATATCTTCAGAAAATCAATTCACAAATATTTGGACTACAAGAAAGGCTATGGAAGATCCAAAATGACATAGATTAGCACAAGCAAAGATTCAAACTGAGAAACATTACCAGTTTCACAAAGGGCAGCTCCCAAGAGCAATCCGTAAAGAAAGAACTCTAGGCTAGGAATATGGAAATCTGGTTTTTATTTCAACCCTGCCACTTATTTACTATGTGAACGTGGCCATGCATCTTCTTACTCTAGCTCCCTATGGAATGAGACTGCTTCTTACTTATCTCAGCCTAGCTCAGAGGGTCTAGCCCATAGTAGATGCTCAGCACACTTGTGTTAAGTGCCAGCTACAGTAGGAGTTAGGAGTGGACTCCTCATGGCTCATAAAGTTGAAAAGGCAAGGCTCAGAGGATGGAAGGTAAACCCAATAGGAGTAAACCATCTCCTTTCACCTTCAGGCTATCCCATAAGCATGATTTCTTGTGTTTATTACCACTCCTCAAACACTTATCATGTTGGGCACTGTAGATATAAAGGTGATTTAGACAAGGACTCTGCCCGAAGGAACTCATGGTATCCAGGGGAAAGGGAAGCGCAGCCAATTACAACACAATATGACAAATGTATGCTGTTGTGGAAGCCTTGACATGATGCTATGGGAGCACCAACTCTGTATGTTTCTCAACCTGCATTGAATTTTTAGACTAGGTCTGGCAAGTTGGTGGGTTTAGTGCATCAGAAATCACTCCTTTGGAAGAATAAGGCATCTGGTGGGAGAGCTCATTCTGAGGGAAGGATGATGAAGGAAGAATATGGTGAAGTTGGTCCTACTAAGAAAACCTTAGTTGGTCCTACTAAGAAAACCTTAGCCATGGAAGGATAATTCTGAGTACGGTCTGGTATCTGCCACTAAAGGGTGAATGGAAGAGATGGAAGGGGGAAGTACAAACTGGACTAGATACTCCACTTAAACATGTATGAATTGCTGGGGGCAGGCACATGGCTGAGGCACTCTCCACTAGTGTAGTGCTGGAGCTGGCTCCTATCTGCTCTCCAGAGCTGACTGTATGCATCGCTCTCCAGTGACACCACCATGGTAGCTTGAAATCAGCCATGGTGCGAATATTTACACCATGGAATTTGGCAAGTCCTATAAATCAGGACTGTTTTGTCCTATGGAGAGCTGCTGATTTAACATTTGCCAGCATACTACTGTTGGAATATAATCAACAGGCTGAAAGAGAAAAGATCTTATCTCCCAAGCCATTCTAGACCACAGTACAATTGGGCATGGTGAAGTTCCAATGCAAGTGTTCTGAAAATGTGCATTGCAGAACACTCGTCTTGCATAGTTTATGTGCTTCTTGGAGTTTATACTACATACTAGCATATTAAAAGCTCTGTGGAAGTTGCATAAAGAAATCTGCTTAATTTTGTTTAATTTAGATCAGTGCTTCTCAGACTTCAGTGTGTATATGATTCACTTGGGGATTTTGTTAACATTCAAGTCTGGGGTGAGACTTGAGTTTCTGCGTTTTTAAGAAGCTACCAAGTGATGCTGATACTGCTGGTTCAAGGACCATACTTTGAGAAGCAACAATGTAGTGTTCCTTATTTAATCATGGAATCTAGCATGTTCTTGTTAATCTATGAAACACATGTTGGCATTCTGCAGAACTCTTATCCTTGGAGTACACTTTGGAAACATTTATAAAATAAGCACATGGTGGTATATGGGGTTGTGGGAGGTATAGACAGGGCCTGATGGAGATTACAGTGTCCTCAGAGCAGGGTGGAAGCTCTGGGGGCCACAGGAGTAATAATTGGCCCTGGGGAGACCCCAGTTTTCAGAGAGAAAGCAATGGAGCTTGGTAGCTTGGTAGAAAACACTGCCAAGACAGACATAGAGATGGAGTTCCCCTTGGGAACAGACCTATCCAAGGGCATATGTGAGCCATAGTGAGACACGGCATGGGAAGCTTCCAGAAAGTCTTGGTGGGAATGCTTGACACGGAGCTGAGCTTCTGCATCATGTAGATGGTGGTATGAGCAAACAAAATATTACACATTACTGTGAATATTACCTAGTTTCTGCCCATAGCGTGGTGAAGGCAGGCCAAAATGAATACATTCTCTCAAAAAGAATTGCCAACAGTTTATAAGAGGTGACAAGTTATCTTGGAAGATGAGTAGAACTCCATTAATCAAAGGTGGATATGAACCTGGGAAGGAGAAGGCCAGGAAGGGGTGGTGTATGTGGTACAGGGAATGTATTTTCATTTCAAGTATCAGAGAAGGCAAAGTATGCAGGGGACAGGCCAGATGGGGCAGAGCTGGGTCTCATGTACAAGCTCTTTCTTCTACCTAGTGCCTGACTCCTGTGGAAGCAGAGGCAGGTGCTGTCTGGAGCACAGCGGGGAGCTTCGCATTCGCAGAGGGCCAGGCACCTGCATGAGAGGAACGCTAAGGGGATGGGGTTGTAGGGAAGGCTATAGGAGGAAAAATTGATTCCTAAGAAAATAAACTTTTCGAAAGAAATCACCTGAAGAGTCAGGGGACTGAAATATATTTAATGATTTGACATCTTAGTTTGGCCTTATTGCTACAGACAAAATTGCCTTTCCAAGGGAGACTCACCAGTATAATAAAACTAGAGGCAGTAGAAAGGCTTTCATTGGTTTCACATGGAACATGCTATACTTTAGGCCCAACAATTCAGCGACAGCACCATCAGCCCAGATGGGGGTTGTGAGCAAAGTCCGAGATGGTCAGAAGGAAACGAGAACCTGGGAGGTGGCGAGTGTCCACTGCTCTAGTCTCAGGACAGCCTGCTCTGTTAAAGCACCTGGTCCTTCTTCCTGAAGACTTCAGTCCCACCTTGCATTATGTTTTGTTCTGTGTATGTGCGTGTCTATCTCTCCTGCTAACTGCTGAGCTTGCTAAGGAAAGGAACCTTGTTTTATGAAATAAATGATATTTATGAGCTCCTGTGCTATGGTCTGAACATTTGTGTCTCTCCAAAATTTGTATGTTGAAACCTAATCCCTCATGAGATGGTATTAGGAGATAAGGCCTTTGGGAGGAGATTAGGTGATGAAGGCAGAGCCCTCATTAATGAGATTAGTGCCCTTATAAAACAGACCCCAGGGAGTTGCCTCCTCCCTTTGGCCATGTGAGGACATATTGAGAAGAAGGCTAACTATGAACTAGGAAATGGACCCTCACCAGAAGTGTCTGATCTTGAACTTCCCAGCCTCCAGAACGTTGAGCAATAAATGTTTGTTGTTTATTAGCCACCTAGTTCATGGTATTCTGTTATAGCAGCCTGAATGGACTAAAACATTCTGTTATAGCAGCCTGAATGGACTAAAACAATCTGAGATTTCAAAAATGTTATCTCCTTCACTTCTCACAGCAGCTTGTCAAGGTAAGTATGATGTTCCCAAATTTACAGGAAAGGAAACCAAGTTTCAGAAAAAATAAGAGGCTTGTGAAAGTCCTATAGGAAGGAGCTCTAGCTCCCAGTTCAGTGCTTGTCTGCAATACGATAGCTTTCCCTTGTTCAGCTCTGTATTCCCCACAGAGCTTCATGCAGACACACAGTAGGCTTGTAAGACATGACCCAGTGAGCAATATTATATCTGTTCATCCTTCATCCAGAAATTGTTTCAGAATTTATACCTAATGACTAGAGGGATATTGAGGAAAAAGATATTGCAAACTCAGAATCTTCACAATGAATTTTACAATTTGGATTTTTACCAATTATATGTAGCTTTTACAATTACAGGTCATTCTTTCAACAACTATTTCACCAGGGTTTCACTGATAGACATGGTCTCTGCCCACAATCTAATAGCATCGAGGATCACATAACAAGCCTTGGGCATTGAGCTTAACATCTGTTTCCATTTCAAAGTCTCACCCACAATTTATCATCTGCCTCTCTGTCCATGTGAAATAAAGTCTATACTTGTATCCTCTAAATCAAAATAAGCCTTAAAGCACAGGTACCACTTGAGTTTCTTCATTTATCTGTGGTCAGTTTTATTTGACCTCTTTATCTTGATGAGCTTAAGGCTGTAGATTTTGGGGCAAAGGGATCGTGCCTTTGGTGAAAGCCCAGAGCAATGTGCTTTTAATAATGAGCAGCTAAGAGAGTGGGTGGAAACAGATTAGACTCCGAGATTAAAGGGGTGAGTACTGCCAGAGTAAGCACGGGATCAACACAGGTGGCTGATCGCTCTGGCAGTGTGGAGGAGGGATAACTGCCTTAATCCAGGCAGAACCAGGACATCTTCACAGAAAAGACATTATCTACATTAAGACCTAAAGATCAAGTAGGAATGGATAGGCAGAAGTAGGAATGTATGCAAAAATCCAGAGAGAACAGACATCATGGTGAGGAGGCAAGTGGTTCAGGACGATTGGACCTGAGAGTCTGATGGGAGGAAGTGGCAGGAAAACACCATGCTGAGCTGATGGATTTAATAGAGTGAGCAATGGAGAGTCAATGTTGGGTTAGACAGGGAAGTGGCCTGATCAGACTTTTATTTTAGAAATATTACTCTGGCTGTGATGTGGAAATTGGTTTGTAGTTAGAGCAATTACGAGGGGGCAGGGTGACTAGAGAGGAAGCTGCTGCAGTTGTCCAGGTGAAAGATTATTGTGCTAAACTGAGCAGAGGCAGTGGAGATGGCAGAGAATGGGCAGATTTGATAGCTATTTGGAAGGTGTTAGCAGTAGAATTTGGTGAATAATTGGTTGTAGGGATAGAGACATGGTCAAAGATGACTCAATGCTGGCTGGCTTGAATCACAAAGAACCCAAGGTGACGTCATTCCCTGAGAGGGGGAAGGTAGGGGGAAGAGGAGAGTTTTCGTTTTATCTTATACTGCTTGGGAATGGAGAATGAAGAGGGAAAGTTCATTTTTATAGGAACTGAGGTGTCTGTGGGAGAGCCAACATGCAGAAGGTAGCTGGATATACAGGTCTCAGGATCAAAGGGAGAAGAGAGAGCTCCAAAAATAGGTCCAAGAACAGACCATAAACATTTCTAGGACAGACTTAGCTCAATGAGCCCTTGAAGGAAGCTGAGAAAGAGAGGTCAGAAGGAGAGGAGGGAGTCCAGGGGGCCATGGCAGCCGTAGGGCCAAGAGGAGAGGGCAATTCAGGAAGGACGGGTCTGCAGGCAGTGTCAAGTGTTTCACCAACCCATGCACTTCTTCCCTGTCTTGGGGCTTTTTCACTTCATTGGCGTTGCTCAATTCTGTGGCTGAGGGAGGTTACAGGGAGCAGGCACTGAGAATGATCTCAACCTCCCTGGGACAACTGTCATACCTGGTGATACAGGCGTGACATTTTTTGAAGTACCTATGATCAACATTTTACCGCAAACTCAAGATGCCTGGGCCAGGGAAAGACCAGGGGTGAAGGGACAACTGGAAATGTGTCATCTATTGTATTTATTCCTTGACTGATTAAAACATGTTGATAGAGCACCTATTGTATTTCAGGATCCGCTAGGCTGTAGGCTGCAGTGATAAATGAAGTATAGTCCTTGTTATTATGGGGGAAGAAACAGGTTTGTGTTCCAAGTTTACAGAGGTTGATAGCAATTATTTAAATAATTATATTAATTCTATCTGTTGGAAAGAATACAGAGGAGAAGTATCAGGTACCATGTAACCATGGAACAGAGGGTTGAAAGTGATTTAGAAGATCAGGGAAGATCTCCATGAAGAAGGAAAATTGAATAAGTGCAAATTGAAAGATGAGTAGGTCATGGAGTGCATGCTAACTTGTCAAAGAAGGGGGAACAGGGTTTAGACGGAAGGAACAGCCTGACTGAAATATCTTACACAGGAGGAAGCCTGGCATACAGGAAATGAAAGCAGCTTCATGTGTTTGGAGCAGAGAATGCTGAGACAGAAAGATGTAAGGGGAGCTGAGGAGGACGGCAGGAGCTAGACTTGGCAGGACGTGGCCGGGTTTATTGGGCAGGTTAATAATTTGGGGAGGATTTAAGCTGGGGAGTGCTGTGATCAGAGTTGCATGAGAAAATTCACTGTGGCTGCAGGATGAAAAATGGACTGAGGTGAGCTCGCATGGATACAGGGAATCCATGTGTGAGTGGCTTTGAACACCTAAGTTGTGCAGCTTTTATTGAGTATCTACTGATTATAGCAACTGTTGGATGAGTTGAAGAGTATGCAGGACATATGGGTTGGACAGTAAATGTGGGAGAGGTATATGTTATTTAAGAGCCTGAAATCTTTTTTGGAGCTAAAGTCATGAACCACCTAGCGAGGAAAAAGCACAGGCTGAAAATAAAATTGAGAGCTGAGTGTGATGAGTCAGAGGGTTCCAGTCAGGAGGGACCAGTGTGGCCTGGAGGAGTGAAAGAAAGAATTCTAAGTGGCAAATAGAGAGGTTGGCCTCTTGCATGAATTCCCAAGGTGGAGAGCATGAGTGATGGGGCTTCCAGAGGGGTCCATGGTGAAGAGCAGGAAGAGCACATTCTTTCTTGGAACAGGACATTGCAGGTCTCTTTTCCCAACCACTGGAGGTGACTCCCCTGTCCACACAAAATTCTGGAATCGTCAGGCTTGCTTGATTATGTATTAATTTATGCATTTATTTATTTATTTGAAAATGGACATCTCTGAGGAAGTTTTCTTCTCCTTCCTATCATTTCCCAGCAGAACAATCAGCTTTGCAAAGCTTCAGATTTTATGGCTGATCATGTTTCTTTCCTCCCTGGAAAAGAACTGGAAAAAACATTTGCATGTTTTTATGAGTCTTATTACATAGCTTTATGACTTGTACATGTAATAATAGCAAGCCAGACGTTCATGGTATGCGTCTCCAGAGAAGTCATCATTTGAACATAAAAATGTAAATCCATTTGGAAAAACACAGACCAGTTATTGAAAGTGAAGCCTGCAGACCATGTGCCCCTGGTGATTGATTAGCAAAAGCCCAGGGACACACATCCTTAGCTCGGACAGACTCTGCAGACCATCTGGAAACAGATGATGCTTAATAATGCAGAATAATAAAATCAGCTAAGTTCCCATTTACAAATGAAATAAATTGAAGAATGAGTGATTACACTGATCTAAAGTGCATGAAAATATTTTCTGCAAATTGGGGGCAGGACTGGGGCTGGAGGCTGAGGAGTGGGGAAAGATGGTCAAAGATTCCTGTGCCCATTTTGTGAATCCTAGATGAAGCCAGACATTTGAAAATATGAAACCACAGATTCTAGGTTGTTGGTTCTCTCTGCAAAATTGACCTGTCGAAACCCTCCATGAATGACTGTACTTTCTCTGACAAACAGATATCAATATCTAAAAATGCTTCCTGCAATTTCTTTCCACAAAGCAATAAGACTGTTTCACACCAATAAGAGCTCACTAAGTGGTATTCTCAGCTCTGTCACCCCCGCAGCTATAACCAATGAAATGAAAAGGTAAGAAAGATAAAGCAAAAATCAGGGGTCACCTGCTATAACCCAGTGGGGTTCTTTATTCTGATAGGGCAAGCCAGGGCAGCTTTACTCTTTTCTCATTTCATTAGCTTTTCCTCTTAAAATCTTACAGGTCTTTCACAAGCAATTAAGACCATTATTTGTTTGACTATTAAACAGGGAACCCAGAACCTGGAAGTTTATGTCATATACAATTAAGAGGTGGTTTAGCTGGAAGAACCTGGCTGGGGAGCAGAGGAGGCCAGAGCCTGAGTGTCCCATATTGTAACTGCCCCAGTTCTGGTGCTGGATGCATGTTAAGGGTTTGCTGCTCCTCCAGCAGTGCTGTGCTCATTCTGCAGCAAAACCTGGCAGAGATTTCTGTGCTGGGTTAGAAGCAGCAGCAACTTTCCTGGATTTGTCATATTGGAAGCAGAAGAATTTTATCAGCCATCCAAGAAATGTGTTCCTGCTACCCCAGCACATTCTCCTAGTTCTAAAGTTACGTCTAACACCATTTCTCTTTCTTTTGTGTCAATCAAATATCTAACAAACCTATATTGGTGTGGCCAGCCTTATGCCATATGGTTTGGCCGATGCGTTGCCTTGCATGTGTGCATATGTGCGTGTGGGAGTGGTGATGGGTGCGGGGGGGTTGGGTCAAAGGGGACGGGGAGAGGAATAGGGTTGAAGTAGCAAGGGTGGTCCTTAGTGCATGCTGAACTGGGGAAAGAACCCTGGCCAGTAAATCGCAGAGGAAGTAACTCACATAAAATTCCAAATAAGGCAAGTGCAATGCACGTTGAGGCTCTGTAGGAAGAGAGAGGTCCCTGTGTCTTGGGAGGGGCTGTGGTGGTGTGGTAATGTCTAGGCTGGACCTTGAAGATGAGGGTGGAGGAAGGAGGGGAATGAAGGAACCCTGATGGTAGGGGAAATGTTGGCCTCTATAGAGGATGCTGTAGTGCACCATCCATATACGCGCTATAGGACTGGGGATCTTTATGGCTAGCAGCTTATAGCTGAGTCTTACACCCAACTCCACAATTATCCTCAGCTGAGGAGAGCTGCCTGTTTTAACATCACATCCCCTTTCCAGGGGGTATCCCACATCCAATGGCTGGTTGATACAGAAGTTAAAAGGCCTGATACCCCTGTCCCAATTTGGGAGAGTTTGGCGGGACCATCCCAGCTCCTGAGCACCCAGTGGGACTGTCTGAGGCCTTTGTAATTGCATCACAGTCTTCTGGTGGATTCTTTGATCACTCTCTTCCCAGTGTTGATCCTGACAGCATCATGTCCGGGTATGAGGCCAGGCTGTACATTCTTTCAGCAAAGGGTCTGCCACTGCTGGCTCCTGGAGGTAGGAGATAGTTCCTTCCAGGTAAGGGCCTACTGCACTCAGAAGAGCCCCCAAATAATGGCATCTTAGCAGCTGCTTGGGACCTGGCCAGGCAGAGAGAAACACTTTGAGTGGAGAAAGAGAGAAATGTGGAAAGGAGTTAAGGCCTCAGGAGAAAAGGTGAGAGAGACTGGCAGTTCTGAAGGTCAGAAATACTAAACGGATCTCACTGGGCTAAAATCAAGATGTTGGCAGAGTTGAGTTTCTTCTAGAGGCTCTAGGGAAAAATCCACTTCCTTGTCTTTTCCAGCTTCTAGAGGCCACTTGCATTCCTTGGCTTGTGACCCCCTTGTCTGTCTTCAAAGAGACCTTCCTCCCTCAAGATCCAGCTGGGATGCTTCCATCTCTCTGGTTCAGATCTTCTCTTCCATTTCTCTCTTCCACTTACAAGGACCTCGGTGATTACATTATGTCCACCTGAATAATCCAAGATAATTTTATTTTAAGGTCATTGATTAGCAACCTCAATTCCATCTGCAACCTTAATTCCACTTTGCCATATAATCTAATCTATTCACAGGTTCTGGAGGTTAGAACATGGACATCTTTGCAGGGAGCATTGTTCTGCTGACTCCAAGAGATCTATGTTATTTCTGTCTTCATAATACAATGAAAAGGAAGAATAGAGACTTGGGCCCTTGCATCCACTTTCCCAGCATTGGCCAGTTGGACTAGCCATTGACACAGCTGTGTGCTCAGCACTGTTTGATCTCCCAGATTCAAATAATGCTTATAGGTTGAGGTCTTCCAAATCCTGATCCTCAAAGTGGATGATCCTTCTGAGTTTCATCGACTTGATGGAACTCTCCACTGGATACATTTTCTTGACCATCCCAAGGCACCATATTTATTGAATCTGCTTCTTTGTCTCTCCGTATCTCTCTTTCTCTCTCCATCTCTCTCTCTCTTCCTTGTCACTACTCCCTGTGGGCTGAAAACATCAAATTTTTTTTTTTCATGGATTACCTACAGTCTCTTACCAAGTTTTTTTTTTTTTTAAGAATTACCATTCTTTTTAAGGGTAGCAGGAAGTGGGGGATAAAGAAGGATCAATTAGTGAATATAAGAATATAGTTGTAGGAATAATATCTAGTGTTTGGTAGTGCAATAAGGCAACTATAGTTAATAATAATTTATTGTATGTTTCAAAATAACTAGAGGAGTACATTTGAAATGGTCCCAACACAAACAAATGATAAATGTTTGAGATGATGGATATCCCAGTTACCCTGATTCAAACATTACACATTGCATACTTATAACAAAATATTGCCTGTACCCCATGAATATATACAACCATTATGCATTCATAAAATTAAAATAAAAAAGATTCTGATGCCCACATCTTCTCTCCTTTCTCACTCTCACTGTGCCGCTCATTATCTTTTCCTGGTCTACTGTATAAGCCATAGCTTCTGACCAGGCCTGCCTCTCTCAAATCCCCATTTCTTATATCAAACCTTTACGGATGCTGTCAGGGCAGTTGTATAGAAACACAAAGTTCTAATTCTGTATTTGAAATATCCAGTGGTTCCTTGCTTTATAAATGTCAAAGTCTAACTCATCAACCCATACATATCATTTATCTTTAAACTATCTTTCCATATTTATTTTGTACCACTACCCCTAGTTCCATCAAGGCAATGCTGTCATGCTTTACTGTCTGTATAATTACTCACACGTGTGTCCCCTCCAGAGTGGGGGTGGTGTCACTCATCTCAGTATCTTCTTTATATTCAGTAAGAGTACTTCATGGACACTCAGCAAATATTAAAACAGCCACTAAATTCTCCCTGTGGTTTGCATTTTTGCTGTCTTCCCAGAGCAGCTTATAGCAACGGCAACTACCAAGTAGGCAACAAGACCCAGCTGCTACACTTGCCAGAGCCTCTGTGCATCTTGGCCACCTCCGGCCATTTTAAAGCTTCTCCCTCTGATTGCTCTGGGGCAAAGCTGCTCCCAGTGTGACCAGAACTACCAATTAAAATCAAGTCAGAACCTTCTAGTTTTTAGCAACAACTGCCAAGAAATGGCTTTCAGGCAACCATATCCTCTATCCCACTGTTCTTTTGAGTCAGCTCTCTTGAAATTTTCCTTTTCTAATACTCTGCTTTTCAAATAATTACCTGGTGCGGTTTTCTCAATATCAGATGAATAAACCATAGCCAAAGGCTAAGGTCAGGTGTGTCCAGATGTGGTGAGGAGGAAGGTACCTCGACTCAAAGTCTTTTGTCCATAAATCTCACCATCTCCTACTTGTTCTTAGACACAGGAACAATTCTAAGATGCAAGGACAGCTTATTCTTTCTAAAACTATTTTCTTATTGAATTAACTCATTGGGCCTCAGCTTTGCAGGGGTCATGAACAACTTTAAGTCGTATCAACTCTTTGACAATTTCACAATATGAAACTGTAATAATTAGTTTCCGTTTTTTCCTGTTACAGTTTTTAAAAACCCTCTAATGTCTATGTTATACGTACTTTATAAAGCATCCTTGAGTTAATGATGCTTACAAGGAGTGCCCTAACGTTTGCATTATTAGTCACCCATCTTCAAAATATATTATGTCTTTGGCAGATTTTTGTGTCGTTTTTAGATGGTTCTGTGAATATGCAAATTATGTCATCTGTGACATAGGTTTATATGACAATCTCTGACCACAGGACCTTATAACAAAGTACCATAGAAATAGCGTGTGATGTGGAGAGCAAGTGGCTGTGGAAGAACAGGGGTCCCTCATTGTCCCAGGTAGGGCAGGTGTATATATCAATTATGCTTTCGTATTCTCTGTGCCTGAGAAAAAAATCAACAGTGGAGCAGCAAAGGTTAGAACAGAGGACAGAATGACATCACCAAGACAAAGTGCCCTAGGCCAGCAGAATGCTTGTCAGCTTCCCCCAGCATCGCTCATGGGCTTCTTGTAGTTTACACTAAGAAACGTGTAGAAAAGGTCATTAAAACAAAACATCATCACAACAGCCAAAAATTCTCCCACAAGGAAATCTGAGACTGAAATACAGGCTATAAATCTTGGGCTTTGGAGATCAGGATCTCCGTGCTGCCCCACATTTCTCTTCTCTTTGAAATGCTTAAAAATATTGAGCCTCACTGCTGTGTAACAATGCACTTAGGGTCACACAGGTGTTCTGGGTACTCTGTCTCCACCATGTCCTCCATCAAAGGATCTGAGTCAGGATTTGCCCATTTGCTGGACAAGAGCAAAGGTTCAAGGTTTTAATGACAGACTACAGCTCTGCAAATACTCCTTCCACTTGAAGCTCACCCTGTGCCCTAACCACCCCCCCTCCACACACACACCTCTTTTCCCAGTGTTTGGAGGAGCTTAAGGAGATGGACCCTAATCTTCTATTGGTGAAAACCAAAGGCATCTGAGTCTTTGGGGACATGCTTGTCACTCTGTGATGTTTCTCATATGTTCTGTTAGTCAGATCGACTTCTTTAAATTCCCCATCTAAGTCAGTCCTAGAAGCTTAGACTTGGCCTGAAACCATGATTCAAGTTTTGCTGGATTGATACTTACAGAACTATAAACCCCTTCTCAAAGAGAAAAAGTGATGAAAAATACAGGCCAAAGGAGTTTTCAAGGGTTCCCTCACAGCAGAATCTGATTTTAAGCTGGATTCTTAGCATTTCATGGACCCAAATCCAATGTACTTGGTCTCATCCCTTTGCAGAGCCCCAGAGTAAAGAAAAGTATCATGGAGGCCTTGTTAAGCTGTTGGGAACCAAGAGAAAACACTTTGGGTTTTGCTCAGTCCGTGGATTAGGAGCATGCAGCGCTGAGCCTGCTGGGTTGATAGTAAAATCAAGCCTGGGTGGCCCTTTTGTGAGGCTCTTCTCAGGGGCAACTATTGAATTCTCTCTCTGCCCGACCCCTTGTGCTTCTTGCTAGGGGGTTGTCTCCAGAGCACAAGTGGGAAGGTGGCCATATTTTTCTGGCAGCTTAGTGATTCTTCTACAATGCAGCTGGGGGCCCTTTGGGTGAAAGGCAGTAAACAAATCACCTGGTGATGAATGCTGCCCTTCTGACTGGCTGGAACCTTCTTTCCTGCAAAGCTGCCTACAGCCTTTAGGGAAGGCAATGAATGGGGCCTGCACAGGAAGCATGAATAATCCCAGTCTATTTACTTACAAATGTGTAAAGGTCTCACGCAGCTCAGGATGGTTTTGAATAAATATGCTGCTCTCTCAAGATCAGCAGCCCTGTAGATCTGGAGACAGAGGCTTGCTGCTCCCCAGTGCTCAGCTCATACATAAATAAAAGACGCTCGTTGGTTCAGCTGCCAAATGTGACATGGTGATGAATTTCCAAGGGTGTCACTCAGGAAAGTGACAATTGCAATGCTGATGGGCCTGGGAAGGCAGACTACAGCTAAAGTATCTATGTTCATGGGTCTAGTGCTAGTGTCCCTTGTGGGATGGTGACCTAAAATTCTGGTCACCAGGACAGCCTGGCTTGCTCATGTATCTCACCTAGCACACAGTGTAAAACAAGGTGAAGAGGCTAAAAAGACCTCGTGCACTAGACACAAGGAGAAAGAATGAGAGTGAAGACTCCATCTTAAGACTTAGGCAACAATGAGATAGTGTCTATGAGGCCATCTTTTCTTGCCAGCAATTCTGTCCCATCCCATCCCTCTTCTATTTGGAGGATTCTCAGAGAGTTTTTCTAGTGGACATGGTGTGGCAATCCTTGCCTACAATTTTTCAGTGCCCCCTGTATACTTACAGGATAAGATCCCAATTTAGGAGCACGGCCAAAAAGTTCTTCACAATCATGTTGTCTCCCTCATGGCCCCATCTCCCACCATTCTCTGCACTTCTGCCATGATGAATCTCTTCTTATCTGGGTACATCTTGCACCTGCTGTGTATTAGTCAAGGTTCTCCAGACAAATAGAACCAAAGGGATATACAATAGACCCTTAAACAACACAGGGTTGAACTGCACAGGTCTAGTTCTATTCAGATTTTCTCCTACCTCTGCCACCCTTGAGACAGCAAGACCAACTCCTCCTCTTCCTCCTAGCCTACTCAATGTGAAGGTGATCAGGATGAAGACTCTTATGATGACCTACTTCCACTTAATGAGTAGCGAGTATACTTTCTCTTATTTTCTTAGTAACATTTTCTTTTCTGTAACTTAATTTATTGTAAGAAGCAGTATATAATACATACAACACACAAAATGTGTGTCAATTGTGTATCAGTAAGGGTTCTGGTCAACAATAGGCTATTAGTTATTAAGTTTTGATAGAGTCAAAAGTTATACATGAATTATTGACTGTACAAGGGATTGGTCGCCCTCACCCCAAGGCTGTTCAAGGGTCGACTATATATTAATAGATTTATTTTAAGGAATTGACTCACATGGTTGCAGGGGCTGGCAAGTCTGAAATCTGTAGAGAAGGACATTGGGCTGGGAATTCAAACAGGATTTCTATGTTATAGTCTTGAAGCTAAATTCCTTTTTCTCCAGGAAAGGTCAATTTTTGCCCTTAACGGCCTTGAACTGATTGGATGAGGCTCACCCATAGTAAAGAAAGTAATCTTCTTTATTTAAAGCCAACTCTTTATAGATATTAATAACATCTGCAAAATATCTTTACAGCAACATCTAGACCAGTGTTTGACCAAACATCTAGGCACCACAGCCTAACCAATTTGACACATACAATTTAGTCATCACATGGTGTCTATCTCCTCCTTCATACTATTCTCATTGTCTAGAACTGCACTACCACCTCACAGAATGCACACTCTTCTGCCTGTTGAATGCTTATTCATTTTGCAAGACTCAATTCAATCATCTCTTCCTTAGCAAAGCTTGCTCCTCACAAAAGAAGAGCCTGACACTCACTCCTCCCTGTTCCCATATGTCCTTTGTTCTTTCATCATAGCACTTAGTGTATTTTATAGCAGTAGCTAACTTATTAAGTTGGTCTCTAAGCTAGATTACTAGCTCCCTGAAGGCAGGCATTTTATCTTATTCATCTATGCATTTTCTACTCTCAGCCCAGGACCTGGACCTACTACATGTACTATACCCACTACACCTACTACAGTAGGTGGTCAATAAATATGGGATGAACAAAGGATTTATCATTACAATCCACAAATAAAACCTCCCATTTGGCTAAGTTGTAATGTAAACAATCTGTTCATTGATTTGGCTTTGACTTTCATCATGAACAATGTATAACCCAATGCATCTCTGAACTATCTAGAAGATATTAGCCACTCAGTCTGCATAAATTTGGCGTTAGTTTGTATTCAGGCCCTAGGCTGCTCCCTCTGGTTCGCTCCCAGTTCTGCAGGGAGGAGGTCTCTCAAATCTTCCAAAGTGCTCCCTCTCACTCACCCCACTGGAGGGCGACTGTCAAAGCACATGCACCTATTGTAGCCTCTAATGTCTAAAAAGGCACTTTTCTTTTCCTTGAACATGATCTCTGCTAGAGGGAAGAAATTTTCCAAGTACTTCAGGCCCAAGCAATTATAGAAACAGAAAGAGAGACAGAGAGAGAGATATGATTTGGAAAAGACCTGTTCTGATTGGGCATTTTTCTGGTTAATTGGCTAACACCTTGATATGGTTTGGCTCTGTGTCCCCACCCAAATCTCATCTTTAATTGTAATAATCCCCATGTGTCAAGGGTGGGACCAGATGGAGAAAATTGAACTGTGGGAGTGGTTTCCACCATGCTGTTTTCGTGATAATGAGTGAGTTCTCATGAGATCTGACAGTTGTATAAGAGACTTTTCCTCCTATGCTCAGCACTTCTCTCTCCTGCTGCCATGCAATGAAGGACATGTTTGCTTCCCCTTTGTCCATGATTGTAAGTTTTCTGAGGCCTTCCCAGCCATGCAGAACTGTGAGTCAATTAAATCTCTTTCCTTTATAAACTACCCAGTCTTGGGCAGTTCTTTATAGCAGCTTAAGAACAGACTAATTCACAACTCAGCAAGTCCCCTTGCTTATCTACTCAGAACCTTGCCCCATCACAGTTTTTAACACTGATGAATCCACAGATGTTGAGTCTTCTGTTGTTAACTCAACATCACCACTTTCTTCTTCCAGAGGAGAAGCTGTGAGCCACATTGCACAGCCTTCTCTTGCTCCTAAGGTTTGGGGGTAAGAGTCAGCCAAGGAGTGACATTCACATGACATTTGGAAGGCAGGAGAGGAGAGACCAATACCCCACAGACACAGTAGTGGACTGTTGCATGAGTTTCTCTGCAAGTCTCTAATTCCCAAATTAATGCCTTTATACTATAAACTGTTTCCTCAGGATACCCTGTCATCTTATTGTTTATGGTAGATCTTGATGAATCATTTGGTTTCTTAGAAGCTGGATGATAGAAAAGGCCCTGGACTAAGATTCAGGGATTCCAGGGATATGACAATCATGGCAACTCACTTCCTCAGTTTCTCATCAGTAAAGGATAAGTTGAACTAGTTACTTTTAAATTAAAAAATAAAACACAAATCCTTCTAAATGATATAAAACATGACATCTTAGATGTATTGCAGGTCTACTAAACTCTACTGGAGATATTGTGAGAGCCATTCAGTACAGAGGCAAAACTTGCTTCTCAAGACTCTGGAGTCAAATGCATCATAGTGGTAGACTGGCAGGGGTTAATACTGAAAACTGGAGGATCAGATGGACAGGGCCTCCAGGACATAGCATTCATCTGGGTGAACATTAGGAGTGTCCTTTCAGTGCCCAGTGCAGTGTCCTGTAGGTGGTCTATTTGCTGAAAACACAAATAGAAAAAAGCAGTGATTCTTGCTCAATGATACCCTATCCTTCAGACTTGTAAATGAGGGTGTCCCAGGCAGTGGGGGTGGTGAGTAAAATCAGAGTTTTCTGTGCATAGCAACCACTGGAGTCTTTATCAACTGCTACTCTATGTCCCTGGAAAAACCCATTCCCAAGATAATCTTTGAAGCCTGTCCTGGCCCAGTAATAGCATGTGGATTTTAGAACAAAACCACAAGAGATGGGTGGAAGGTCAGAAACCTTCAGAACAAGTACATGATGTGGAGCTCAGCATGGGTGTCCAAGCCTTCTTGGTGGAATATCTTTGAGGATACATCTTCTACTTTGCTCAGGGCTGGCCAAAATGTCTTAAAACCCAGCCGGGACTAATTGCCTTGTTGTTGGTGGTGGTAAGGGGCTTCTTTTAGGTTTTCTTACTGATCTTGTCTGAAAACCAACCAACATATACACTTCACCCCCCTAAAAATACCCCACAAACCTCTGATGAAAATACCAGAATTTAATTTAAATGATATCACGATACTCTTTTCCAGGAACTATGATGGCAGATGCTTAATAAGTGGAGACAATTATTATTAAGTTATTTTTCCTTGCAAAGGTGGCTAATGGAATAGCCTATTATATTTGAACAAAGATGCAATTACTCAGCTCACTTGACAAAATACCTAAAAATTCTCTTTGATTATACAATTTTAAAGAGAAAGAATCTATCAGCGACTAGTTTGCAAGAGCCCTCTGGGCAGTGGGCATTCTGATTCTTTGTCTCCTTACAGCTCAAAGCTCCATTTTAGACACTAGGTGTTCAATGAATATTTGTGGTTGGCATGTTCTAAATGGGTTGCCAAAAATCTCCCAGAGATATTCTTCAATATCCTTTTTTCCTATCCACTAGAGAGTCATTTCACCCCAAGGCATCACAGAGTGTAGAACAGAGCCCCTTTGGAAGGTGTTGATTTTTATGCATAAAGCACAGGATTTATTAAGAAGAGAATGGGTTCCTCCCTTAGGAGATATCACCCCCTTGAGATAGCCATATGTGAACACGGGAGTATAAGTCAGCAAGCTCCATTAGAAGGACTTCCTTTTCAGTATTCAGGCTGAGAGCGTCTGTCTGCCTCCTTGTGCCCCTCCAGCGAAGGAATGCTGGTGACATAGAGTTGATTTGAAGAAACCCTTAGATGCATTTGTTTGCATGTCCTCTTTCTGTGTTTATCCTCTTCTGAAATTCCAACATGTTGCTGTCATGGTGGCAACGGTGAACACTATAGCAGAAAATGCATCTGCACTTCCTTTCAGACCGACCCTGTTTTCCCCTCAGGTGAAAACTTTCCAAAATTAGACTTTCTTGATATGACATTTCTTGACATGAAACTTAAGTCAGTAAAGAATGAGGTTTGAACTATGGATTGTTTTTGAGAAATATACATTTTTCAAAATACACTTTTCAACTGTCACTCTTTTTTCTTTTTGTGAACGCACAAACACAATGGTTGATTTTTAGTAGTTCTTAATCATTTATTGCAAAACATACAGTTCATTGTAAATATTTAGCCTATGAATTGATTGTGGCACAAGTCTAAATACTGTAGCTGGGAAATTATTTATCTAAGTTTAAAAAGTGTAAGATTTGATTCCCAAAGATGCCAGTATAAGCAGGTAGATTCTAGTTTAATGAATTCAGGATTACGGGTAAATGAACATATGTTTGCATTTCAAAAATTACGTTTGCATTACACAAGAACTATACTTAGTACCAAGCAGTTGAAATCAGCAAATACTTTAATGTGTTATTGACCGTAAGCCAGATGACTAACTTTGATAATAGACGTGCAAAGAAAGGAAGATTAACAATGTTATTGCTGTTTCATGATGTTAATATTGGATTTCCTTTGGTTCTTATTGTGCTAGAGGTATTTCACAAACACAGTGTCACAACAGTCTGGTCACATCTCTTCTCCCCTCTCAATCAGATTATCCTGACTTCCCTACTTTTTGTCAATTTTATATTGATAAAATATTATCTTAGTTAATCCTTCTCCAAAATATGAAATTGTTGTTAGCCATTATTTCTACTATCCAACCAATAAAGGCTCAAGTTCAAATTTTAGCCTTTAGATATTTTAAAACTATTTAAGCTAGAAAACAACTTCTGATGTATAGTAAATATGTTTGAAGGTATTATCCTTTTGCTATAATAAATTAAATTAAAAATCCACCCAACTTTCTGATGTGGCAGATAATTTATATGATTATTTTGTTCGTCAAAGTAACCTTATAAGATTACCAGTATTACTCTCCATTTTACAAAAGAGAAGTTTAGGGCAAAGAGAGGTTCAGTAATCTCCCTGAGTTCCCAAAACAAGAGGGTGAAGCTGGGACTTAAACCCAGGTCTGCCTGACCCCAAGTGTTCTTTGTTTTCTGCAACTCCAGGCTGTCCAGAGCATCCAGACTTTAGAAAGTAATGAGCATATTCATTTCATTTCGTTATATACAAGTTTGTAATGATAACTGTCCAGCCCCGAGTATATAGTATTTCAAACAGCTGATGAATCCAGAGGCCATTCTCCTTTGTAGACAGTCTTCTTCTGGGCAGGAGCATTCTCCTCTTCTCAGGGACCCTATTTCTCCAAAGTTTGGGCAAGCAGAGTCAACTTGAACTCCTCCACCTTCTTTGCTGTGCCTAGCCTTTCCTTCAATTTAACCTCAGTAGCATTTATGAGCTTAAGAAGGGGAAGCGGGTGGCAGAGTGCTGGCAAAAAGAGAGGAGACTTGGGATGCCTCTGGAAGACATTCTTGTTTTTAAACAGGCCTACCCATAACTTTTCCCTAACTCAGGACTGCTGTCCCTCAGGAGAGGGATGGGGCTATGTTGGGCTCTGAGAGGTGTAGGGATTGTTAGAGTCTAAGTGGGGTAGTAGATCACTAAACAGAGGATAACATTGGGCTGTGGTGG
Organism: Homo sapiens; assembly: GCF_000001405.40. Classification (NCBI taxonomy): domain Eukaryota; kingdom Metazoa; phylum Chordata; class Mammalia; order Primates; family Hominidae; genus Homo; species Homo sapiens. Next base: position 21,419,820 of record NC_000002.12, read on the forward strand.
TGGGAGCTTTGGTTCCTGGGAAGTGGGGGAGCAGGGGTAGGGCCTGGGATAGGGGTGTGGCTCAGGGCAGGGGTAGAGTCTGGGATGTTGCCTGCGGCAGGGGAAGGGACAAGGACAGGGGTGGGGCTGGGGTGGGGTCAGAACAAGGGTCTGAGAGGAAGGAAAATACAAAGACTGGAGGTGAGAAGTATGTATGCCTCTCCTTCCCAGTGCTTCCCTGGAGAGACTTTCACCCACCACCCACTGCAGGGCCCTCCCTACACACACAGCCTCTCCTGCAAATGATACTCCAGATCTTCCCATTTAGGAGCTTCCCTCTATAAACTGCTACCCACCCTCTTCTTTCACTCTCAGTTACAGGTCAAGCCTCTTTCCTAGGAAGCCATTCTTGTTGGGCTGGGCGATAGCGATCACCTTCTCCCTAAGACACTGGCCTATAAACTACAGTTCTGTGTTCATATGGATCCTGTGTTCAGGTCATTTATGCCAAACACAAAGCCCAGGAGAATGGAGGCCTGCCTTCATAATGCATACACAGTAATTGATGCGTGGAGTGGTGCAGGGGATCTCTCTCTCTCTCTCTCCTTCCTTGAAAAGGGCTAATACTAGGGAGCTGTAAAATGTCTCTCAAAGACCAGGACACAGAGCTCTAAACCTGGGTTAAACCATGCTTTACTGTGCATAGGAATTGCCCAGTGATCTTGCTAAAATAAAGGTTCTGATCCAATGGGTCTAAGCTGGAGCCCGAGGATTTCTTCTAGCTGACGTCTATGCTAAAGGCCACATTTTGAGTAGCTCTGTGTTTGCACCAGTAGCTCCAAGCCCTTAAGCTGACACACCCATGGACACACACTCCCACAAGCTCTCAGGATGCATCACCATTGCTGATGCTGAGGCCCTGAGGTTTTCTCTGCATGAAAGGAGTCTGGACTGATGATCTTTCAGTGACCTAATTGCGCTGGTCAAAGAGAACCTCCTAGAAAAACTCTCACAGTCTCTGCCTTGCTTACTATGCCTCCTCCAGGGTTCTGGAACTCCTCTCTTGCCCCACTCTCTGCCTGGAAAAAGGTGTTTGTCATGCTCATGGCCTAATAATTGCGCGTTTCCACTGCCTGAGGCTTGGCTTTTGAATTTTTCAGCAGAGAGAAAAAAAGAAAAAGAAAAAAACCCACAAAAAAACAAGAAACGTGCATTGGGAAATAATTTTCTTGTCGGTGGGTTCTATAAAGGTTATGTACAACAACAGATATATCACATAGATACTCCGAGTAAAAAAAGAGACATGCTTCTTCCATTGCTGACCTCATTGCTGGGAAGTGATGGTGACTAGTGACCCTTGGTGGCCCTTCCCATTGGACTCAGCGCTCTCTCTATGGCCATAATTAATTCTATGCCCCGAACTGAAATGACAATCATTTTTTAATTCTGTTTTACATAGGCACCTCTGGGGAGTCCACCTAAAAGCTCTAATTTTCTAGTTCAATTGTAGCACTATTCTTTGAGAGGCATTGACTGCAGAGATGCTAAAAGGATGCCAGTTCAGTGAATTATTGAGTTTTAGCCAGAATCATAGGCTTATATGGATTCAGGTAGCGCTCGCTGAAATATAATGCAGGCCTCCCTTTTGCCCTGGACCTCTATGTTCATAGGAAGAAGAAGAAGGAGCTTGGGTGGGAGTGACCTATTACAAAAATCAATGAGCTTGGCAGCTCCGCTGTCTGCCTGCAGTACCTGGCTGTCCTCAGATACAGTCACAGCTGTCAATCAGCTCTGAGCAGACCTTGGCTGCCCATCTCCTCATCCTTCCCCAAGCTCCTGGCTGTGGGAATGGAAACCAAGGCAGTTTTCTACTTATTTAAATATGTCATTCAAGATTCTTTGTATAAAAGAGTTTCAACAACATTAAATCTCTTAATCTCCTATTTAAAATGACGATGGAGATTTCAGAGCAGCAATTTTGAGGCCAGTTGAATTTCCAGACGTGCGTGAGCACACAGTGTAACTGGAGAGCCCGTCAGGTACCTGGAGCTGCTAGTTGGATGAGAATATAACTTTCTGGCCTGAGCGTAGCCCCTGGGTAGGTTTTGCTTTTACTTCAGCCCTCAGAAGAATGAAAATGTCTAGCAATGTCTTTCCGGTGATGTGTGTGCTGGGCATCCTACTTGGATCTTTTAGATTTTATAGAATGTTTACCTGTGCCTCAGTTTGGGTTATTTATTCTAACAATAAATAAAATAGTAAACTTTGACTTCTAGGTAGGTGAGTGAATCAGGAAACAAATATGAAAATAAACAAATGCATAGCCTTAAGCAGGAAGGGAGCAGCTGGCAACTGGAAATGAAAACAACAGGATGAAGCTTGGATAGCTATCAGGGAAGTGAAATGCCCATATAAGTGCCCACCAAGCTAGGAGTCAGGCTGCAGCCAGGAGGGGGCGCCAGAGCTGGGAGCAAGGGCATCTGCAGGGAGAGGAGAAGAAGGAGGGAGCTGCCCTTAGCTGGCTCTGGTGGTGTAAGGATGAATTTTGACTGACAAAGACCTGCCTCAGGGAAATAAGGGGTCTGGAAGAGGTCATAGCCATCTAGTCCATTCATATTGCTGGAGTCTGAAGGTTGCTGTCGCCCTCAAAATTCCTATGTTGAAATCTAACCTTCAATGTGATGATATTAGGAGGTGGGGCTTTGGGGAAGTGATTAGGTTAAGAGGGTGGCACCCTCATGAATGGAATTAGTGCCCTTATAAAAGGGGCCCCAGAGAGCTCCCTTGCCACTTCCACCCTGTGAAGACACAGACAGCGGGTACATCTATGAAACAGGAAGCGGGGCCTTACCAGACACCAAATAGACGCCAAATCTGCTGGCACCTTGACTTTGGACTTACCAGTCTCCAAAACTGTGGGGAATAAGTTTATCTTTTTTTTAAGTGAACCACTGTATGGTGTTTTGTTACAGCAGCCCAAATAGACTAAGACATGCTTAGATCCACAGGGAGATTTCATGAGTTTTCAGAATTGGGTAATGATGTTCTACCATATTCATGTCTCTCCTTCTCAGTGCTCCTGGGAAAGGAGCAGGAGAAATGCAGCGTGGCTTTGCAGTCCAGGCTCACCTTGTGCATGCAGAATGACCCAGATAAAGCGTTCACATGGTAACAGAGACACTATGTGCACAACACTTAGCACAGCATGTGACCACTAGTCAATAAACATTAGTTTCTGCTGCTCATTTATCCATTTGGTAAACATGGATCGGGGCCCACCCTGTGCTCGGAACTGGGGTTACGAAGGGAAAAAACAAAGTGTGTTCTCTGCCCTTTGGGAGCTCAAAAGGTTATATAAACACTATCCCAGTGCAATGAGGTAAGTGGTCAAACGGGTAATAAACAGAGAGTTTATGTTGTGGAAACATGGCAGAGGGAAGACTGACTGCCTCAAGAGGTCAGGAAAGGCTTCTAGGAGGAGGTTACATTTGAGCTTGTTCACAAAGGATAAATGGGTCTATATAAAGTCAGTGAAGAAAAGGGCAATCTGGTCTTTGGAGGGCACTCCAGGATAGCATGTTAGCATGGGAGAATGCCCTTGAAAGTCAGAAGTTCTGGTTTTGTGGCCAGCCAGACATTTGCGATTGTTGATGGGAAGGTGCACAGAGGTAATGCTGGGAGAGAAAGTTGAAAAGCAATTCAGAAGAGCCTTGGAGCCCTAACAAGTTGTTTTGACTTTATCCTGCAGTCCATGGGAAGTCAAGTGGGGGGGTCCATAAGGAGGGTGTGACCACACCTTGTTTCAATATATCCTGTGGTCAATGGGAAGCTGGGGGGAGGGTCTGTAAGGACAGTGTGACACAGCTGGTCTCAGTATACCTCAGTGTCTTCATCAGTGTGACTGACAGAGACACTCTGGGAAGTTGTTAGTCATTGTCCCTGCAGTCTTAACAGATCGATCCTGCTGAAAATACACCTACCTGTTCACCAGGTGTCTGGAGAGAGACAAACTTGCTCCTTTCAGGGCACCAGGCTGAGAGCAGTGTGCTGCCTTACCATTTTATATCACTAAGCCATGCTCAGTAACTCATGCAGCAGCTGCCCTCAAATGTGTCCCATCATCGAAATCAAGTGTAGGAACCGAAGATTTTATTTCTCGGTAGTTAGCATTTGTTCTTCCCTAGTTGAGACTCTACAGCCAAAAGTGTGTTCCTCACTTTACCACATCCTGGCTGTGGCCTTTGATCAGGCTGCTGCCTATTTCTCTGAGTCATTCATGGTCTGAGGGCCAGAATAACACATTAGGCATGGCTATCAAGAATCTGTCCCAGCCCTGCTGCCTCCACAGTCCATGAGCCTAAAGTCGTTCATCAAAACAACCCTTTGGCAGGCTTAGTGATGCTATCTTGTCAAGCTCGAAGCAGGGGCAGTTGACAAAATAAAGATGAAACCAGTGCCCATGTGTGAATTAGTCCATACACTTTTTGGTATCTTAAGCCCGTTTCCTTCCAGACTTTTCTTGTTCTTTACTTATAAATTGAGGTGGCTGGACGAGGTGACCTTTAAGGCACCTTCCTCTCCAGATTTCTAGGGCTTGCTGAAGCTCAGTTTCACCTGAAGTCACCGTAGTAGATCCTCATTACTCCCGTGGATGTGCAACACCAAGAGGTGGCTGACAACATCAAAACCCACTTATGGAAAATTCTGGCCATGCTGGCAACTGCTGAAAGGCTTAGGACACCCAGAGGCTGAGGGCTATGGGCCAGGGCATTCAGCCACCCCTGACATCACAGGGCTGCAGCCTGGATTAGTGCAGTGCGGAGCACACTGCAGGGACAGGGAAAGGACATGTATGGGTCACCTCTGAGAAATGAAGCCAGCATGGCAGGAGGTCAGGGCTTAAGAGCACGGAGGGATTTGGTGCATTCAGTGATTTGTTTAAACTGCCTTCAGACAAAGAGAGAGAGAAAGGGAGAAAATAGTAAAGAGAGAGATATTGAGAGAGAGATTTTAAATAATGACCAAGAATCAAGATTCCAGCAGCAGAATAGATGTTTAGGCGACCAAAGGGCCGGGGAGACATTAATCAAGCCAATTCCCAAGAAGAGTTGGCTAATGTCATTACTGTTTTCACCTGAGGAGTTTCATACATTTCAAACATTGTACACCAAATAATAGTGACTATTAAGTTTTAGTTACTGTTTTAAGCATTTTATGGGTAAAAACAGTGTGCAAAATCTTAGGTAATACTTGGGGATATAAAGGAACAGAAAGAACATTACATTTGCCTGAGGCCACACAACCGGTGAGTGGAGAAATCAGAATTGAAAGCCTTCATAGCACACCATAGCAAGTGTGGTGCCAGTGCCTATTTTCCTGACCCCTGCATGATTCTGCTGGTTCTCCTGACCCCTGCGTGATTCTGCTGGTTCTCCTCATCCCTGTGTGATTCTGCTGGTTCTCCTCATCCCTGTGTGATTCTGCTGGTATTAGTCTCTCAAGGCTGCTGTAACAGATTACCACAAACTTAAGTGGCTTCAAAGAGCATAAATTTGCTTTCTTATTGTTCTGGAGGTCAGAAGTCTGAATTGGGTTTAATAAAACCCATAAAACTTTATAGTTTAATAAAACTGTAATTGCAAATATAGTGCTTTGCTGAGTTCTTTGAGTTACTCTAGTAAATTATCAAATTTGAGGGGGGTCATGGATGCCCCTGGATTTGTAGCCAGTTAGTCTGAACTGAGGGCAGTCTTCTTTTGTCTTCTTGTGGACCACGCCCTTTAAGTTGTGGGGTCTGCCCTAACTCCGGGTTGTTAGTGGCAGAATTGAATTGTAGTCTACCAGTTGATGTCATAATATTCCCCGCGTTGTTAGTGACAGAATTACTGTCCTAACTCCAGGTTGTTAGTGGCAGAATTCAATTGTAGTCTACCAGTTGATGTCATAATACTGCCCTAACTCCAGGTTGTTAGTGGCAGAACTGAATTGTAGTGGACCAGTTGATGTCATAATATTCCCCGCGTTGTAAGTGACAGAATTACTGTCCTAACTCCAGGTTGTTAGTGGCAGAATTCAATTGTAGTCTACCAGTTGATGTCATAATACTGCCCTAACTCCAGGTTGTTAGTGGCAGAACTGAATTGTAGTGGACCAGTTGATGTCATAATACTGCCATAACTCCAGGTTGTTAGTGCCCGAATTGAACTGTAGTGGACCAGTTGATGTCATAATACTCCCCATCTATACTCCCCATGTCAACATCCTTAACTTTTCACATCTACAAAACCCCTTTTGCCATGTAAGGTAAAACAGTCACAGGTTCTGGGGACCAGAATGTGGACATCTTTGGGAGCATTTATTCTGCCTATCACACTGTTTCAAGCATTTATACTTTGTTAGAGGACCTACCATCTGGTGGGTTAGATATCACAGTCAGAAGCCGCCAGTTGAGCAGGAAGCGGCAGAGAGGTTTTGAAGCTATCCTCTAAGCTGACAAACCCTGGAAGAGGAATCAGGAGGCTTTTTAGCCCTGCTCCTCCAAGGACATATGAGGCTTCAAGGGCACATTGTCTGACCACTTTGGCCTGAGTGTCCTCATATAAAAATGGGAATAAATATCCCCTGCTTAGCACTGAACAAAATTCTGTATGTAGTTAATGGTGTATATATATATATATATATATATATATATATATATATATATATATATATATATATTTAAATATATATAAAATTCTGTAGGTATATATATATACACACACACACACACGTATATATTAATTTGTAAATGATTAAAATGTATTCTTATTTCATATTCTTATTCTGCCAAGTAGTAAGTACAGAAGTTGGTTGGACCTTTATTAGTTTCAGATTTATTTAATAAATGCGCTAGCCTTTGACAAACACTCATAGATTTAATTATTATAACATCCTTCTTACACGGAACTATCCCCACTAGATAAGAAAATGGAGGCACAGAGGGGTTAAGTCACTTGCCCAGTGTCACATATCACATAGTTGGTAAGTGGCAGAACCAAGACCCAAATGCAGCCAGTCTGACTGCAGAGTCCAGTCCCTTAGCTGCTCCATGCTGCCTGACCAGGTGGCAGATAAAGAGGATGCAGTACAAAGAGAATGTGCTTTTGTTCTATCAACTCCTAACCCAGCATCAGGGAATTACTTGGGAAGATCTATAGCATCAGGATCTCCAGCAGCACATGCCAGGAACCCAAAAGGCACCCTCCAGGACCATGAGCCTGCCCTGGACACTGCATGTCACATAAGTTAGGTGGCTGTAACCTCAGATTGCTGGGCACTTTCACATTCACAATAAATGCACATGAAAGCTGATAAAGTAGTTTTTCCCAGATGTCAGGTCATCCCCCTCTCCTATGCTCCTTCCGTAACTGTCCTGTGAAGTGGCGTATCCCAAGTTTCAGAAGGTTTTGGCTTCTAATATTTGAATTATTTTTTCTTCTAGTTAATTGAAATGCCACCAGAAAAAGAAACAAAACATTGACATCTACTTGCTTAGAGTCTCAATTTGTCTATTTATCAATGATCTAAGCTTGGACATGACTGAGCTTCAGTTTCCTCATGGTCAAATAGGGTAACAAGCTGTTGGCAGGACTGATTGGAATGACATATTTAGCAGTTCTTACGTAGAGCCCAGCTATGTTGGAGATCACCAACTCCTGCTTTTGACCCCTCTCTTCTTGCCTCATTGATCCCTACTCTGCTGGGCACTCACCTTCTTCCTTTCAGTGCTGCTATTTACAAGCCTTGACCTTGCTCCCTCCAAATCACTGGGGCCATTCACTTCTCACCCCTCTCCAATCTGGCTTCTTGCTGGCTGTTCCTCTGAAACCTGGTCTGCATTCCACCAGCAGCTTCCTAGTTACCAAAGCTATTGTCTCTCTTTGGTCTGGAACCTGTTTACCCTTTTGGAAACATCTGGCCCCTAAACAACAAACAACTACAGTTGCTTGCAGTCTACAATCCACCCACTTCCTGTGTGATTACTCTCCTGACCTTTAAACGGCTTCCTGTGGTGTGGGCTGTGCTCTGTCCTCCTGCCTTTCTTCCTGCATCTCTACTTCTGATGAGTCCCTTTCACTGGCTCCTCTTGACCCTTAAACATACAGATGTTCATCGAAGTTCTGCTCTCTGTACTATTCTTTGTTATACTCTCTTCATTCTTGCCCATAGCTTCCACTTCACCCATGTCCTGCTCTATGCCTGTCATTCCACAATCAAAATGTTTTATGCCAAGTACATCTCCTCTGATCTCAAGATCTGTATTCCCAGTTCCTAAACACTGAAGCGCTATACATGACGGCGCTGTGAACATGCCCACACTCTGATCATTATCTCCATGCTGCCCCCGAAAGAGGTGCTTGATTTGACTTTTCCTTGGTAAATAGGCCATTTGTCCCATCTCCTTCTCAGCAAGGCTTTCCTGAGAAAAGTCCTCCTCCTTCTTCCATCAACAACTCAGAAGAAATCGCTCCCTCCAGTGAGTTTGTACCATATTTTGCTCACACATCTAGAGTAATTGGCAGGCTAAGTTTTAATTTGTTATCTAGGAACTGATTCCCTCTTTCTAGATAGTAAGCTCCCTGTGGGCAGAGGGAGGGCATTATTTACCCAGGAAGGATCTGAGTAACTTCATAGCCCTCAGCACCCATTTGGATACTCCAATTATTCACCTTTCCCCTATGTAGCTGATTTCACCCAAGAGTCTATAAATTTATTGAAGCAAAGATGCAGTCTGTGTATTTCTGTATAGTCAATAGTATTTTTTTGTAATAGTAGACACAAAAAATGCCCTGTTGAATAAAATTATTTTTAGCTCCTTTAATAGCTGTTATGGGCTGAATTGTGTCTTCATACCTAAATTCAGATGTTGAAGTCCCAACCCCCGTATCTCAGAAAGTGACTATATCTGGAAACAGGATCTTTAAAAAGGTAAATTTAAATTAAGGTAAAATGAAGTCATATGGATAGACCTTAATCAAATATGAGTGGCATCCTTGTAAGAAGAGGAGATTAGGACACAGAAACACACAGCCTGAGGGACACCTACATGCTAGAACACAGTGACAAGGCAGCATTTGCAAGCCAAGGAGAGAGGCCTCAGAAGAAATTCATCCTGCTGACACTGCAATCTTGGACTTCCAGCCTCCAGAACTGTACATCTCTGTTGTTTAAGTCACCCAGACTTGGCATTTTTGATACGGTAACAAATTAATACACTAGCTGAATGCTACTCACCAGTTTCAGTGGTGAGGTGCAATGCTTCCTTTCAACTTGACACTGAAAAGCAATGTTTTCCTTTTATGTGTAGAGATGGCTCAAAGTCAGACAATGGGTTAGTTGGATAGTATACTTGCCCACATGATCTTAAGGCAAATTCTGAACAATCTTATTGGAAGTTACTGATACTAATGATTTTTTTTTCTATATTTTTCTCTTCATTCTTCCTTTTTTATTTCTGTTCCTCTTCCTCCTCCGCTTCTCCATCTAAAAGTTGAGCAGAGATTTGCCATTTGAGTCACAAGACCGCCTATATTGACTATAAAACAAACTGGAATATTTGGGCTGTGAAAGACTTGCAGCTTCATAGTAAGGAAGATGGGAATGCCATGTTCAATTTCTTCCCCAAGTGGTTATGGATGTATAACAGAGCCCAGAGACCGAATCATAGTTTGGGCTTCACAAAGGACCTGTCCAGGTGTGTTCAGTAAGAATCGTTTAAGCTGCTCTTGCTGTTAACAATCTGGCTTCTTATACCCAGATGATTAGATGTCATAGACATCAGAAGGAGGTCAATAAAATTCAAGCTTTAAACTTTGACAATAATTTGAGCTGAATAATAGTTGAATTTCAGAACTGAGTTGTCATGGTGAGAGCCATTGAAGAGGAATAATTATCTTATAACTCAGTTACTGTCCTGCTGAACTCCTAGCAATATCCCTAACCCCACTTCTAACTCACCAAGCCCACATTATATTAAGTCATGCTTAGGGACATGATTTTTATATTCTTTTATGTATATGTTCACATCCATAGCCAAATATACATAAAATATATTTGAATAAATATGCGTTCAATGCAGCTAATGGGAAAATGGTACAAATGGTTTAGTCAGCAATAAATTGCATATTCTGAGGGAAAATACTAAAGTACCATTCAAGTATTCTCAAGAGCCAGGTGGTAGAAAGATGTTAGCAATAATTCTTTTTGTGGTTTAGCATATAGGACAATCAAGCCATTTGTTTTCATTATTTTTGTGGACTAAAATTTTCATCTCATTTCTCTTGGGTAATACCAAACATTTTCCCCCTTATTAATCCATAACAACACTATGATGCATTTTGCTAATCAAAATTGCACACTGCATAATAATTTGCAATCTAATAAATATAAGCTTCATCCACATTTCATCAAATGTAGATGCAATTACTTAAAGATGCTAAAATACAAGATATAAATTTAAACTAAAAGGAACTTTAGGGGCATCCAAACAGTGAAACATAAATCAGATGGTAACTTATTTTATTTTAAATACAATTTCATAAATTATTTGAGGAAAATTCCCAGGGTGTTTTCAATGTGAGGAAAGAATGTCAATCTCTCTACTAAGACAGGAGATTTGTCAAGTGGATGCCAATAAGTGAAGGGCAAAGGGAAGGAATGAAGATACTGAAACTATTCTATTTTTGATGCCAATGAAATGAAAAAGAAGGGGAAATTAAGAATTAATGGAGAGGAATCCCATTGATGTTCAAGACAGAATGATCTATCCTCCCTGGCCTATTGAAATAATCAATGGAAGGTCAGGCACGGTGGTTCATGCCTGTAATCCCAGCACTTTGGGAGGCCAAGGCAAGCAGATCACGAGGTCAGGGGATCGAGACCATCCTGGCCAACATGGTGAAACCCTGTCTCTACTGAAAATACAAAAATTAGCTGGGCATGGTTGCGCATGCCTATAATCCCAGCTACTCAGGAGACTGAGGCAGGAGAACTGCTTGAATCAGGGAGTCAGTTGTTGCAGTGAGCCAAGATGGCGCCACTGTACTCCAGCCTGGCAACAGAGCGAGACTCCATCTCAAATAAATAAATAAATAAATAGATAAAATACAATAAAAATAAAAGAGAAAGAATCAATGGAAAATACAAGTGATGAAAAATTTTCACCAGCTATGGAAACAAGGGTGTCAACTACATGGTAGGAATTTCAAGTAACTTCTGCTAACAAAAGCTTACACTCCACTATACTGAAGCTGTTGAGAGGACTAGTGTGTGGCCCCTGTCTGGGAACAAAAGGCATGCCTGGAAGGAAACAGAAGAGATGGAGGCAGCAAGCCCCAACACTAAATCTCAGCTGGGAGAGTGCCGAAGGCAAGGTGGCATGCCCACTTGTCACATCTGCACACTGCCAGGCCACCTGACTCCAGTGGCGATGGCACAGCTCCAGGTTTTCTCTCTGGTATTGATTCCAGACCCTACAGAAGGCTGGACACGCTGAGGTTTGTGTCTGTTGTGAGCAGCCTACCACTTAGCAGGGGGTCGGAGCTCCCTTCGGCCTAGCTCTGTCACTAACACTTTGCTGAGGCTGCTTGAGCTGCAACAGAGATTAAAATTTGTTTTATATATTATTTTTATCCTCAATTTGTTCCAGAGCTTAAAGACTCAGACAGTGACACAAATCTTTGACAGCAGCCAGCCTAACTCCTACTCGGCTAAAAACTAATAGTACAAACACTCCATTTTATCTTTCTAAGAAAGAGAAAACAAGGGGAGAAAAAAAAAAGCAAGGCCTGTTAAATATATACTACAGATTTAAACAAAACAAAAAGCAAGACACCCTTGAAAACTAGAACAATGGCCTCCAATAGAAATACATTTACTGGAATCAGTAGAAAATGTGTGTTCTCAACAAGATCAAAGCAGATGCTGCAACCGTGATGACATTAAGAAAGAAACTCACAAAGACTATGGAGAATTGCATGGAAATGGGAATCCAACTTGTCCAATTAAAAACTCAGTAAGACCAGAAAACAGGAAATTGGACATTGTATCAAATCAAAGTGGTGAATTAGAGAAAGAGCAAATGTGAGGAATTCTTGTAGATGAAAATGAGATAAATGATGAGAGACCATTGAGGGAATCCCAGAGAGTATGAACAGGGAGAACAGAAGCAGTAAGGGGAGCATGCGATTGAAGACAATGGCACAGAAGGGATCTGGGGCTTACAATTGTGAGGGAATATCATGTTTTCAGGTAAACATCATGAAAAGAATATCAAACAGAAAGAACTCCTTGGGAATCCCCAATTTCAGAGCACATAGACAGAATGTTGTGTACGTTCAGCAGGTGTTAGTGGAGGCTACCAAGTACGGTGTAGAAGGATGTGGAAGTTAGGCACAGACTTGTGCTCAAACTCTGGTTCCACACACTCATAGTTTTAGGACCTTGGGTGATGTATTGAATCTCTATGAGCTTCAGTTTTTCCAATACTAAAATGGGAATAGCGATTATTACTCCACAGGCGCTTTTGTGATGCTTGAACAAGATAAAATATGTGAAACACAAGTAGCTCATGCCTGACAAATAGCCACAACTCAATAAATGAACACAAAACCAAAGCAAAACAATCACAACCATAGCAACAAAGCAAAGGTAAAATAGATACATGACCAGGTAATTGCCTTAAATGCATTTGTAATATTTACCAGTTATTTTATTCATCCAGTGAAAAAGACTCTTCCTAATGTGGAATAATTTTTTAAAAGCAAAAAGAAAATTACATGGTGCATAAATTTAGGTTGAATGAACTAGAACTAGGAAAGAAGGGGATAAATCTGTACCATTTCTACAATATTTACTCATACACTTATTTATTTCTGCCGGCTTTCATAGTTATTTATTTACTTATTTATTTTGAGACGGAGGTTTGCTCTTGCTGCCCTGGCTGGAGTGCAATGGCGTGATCTCAGCTCACCCACAACCTCCGCCTCCTGGGTTCAAGCGAGTCTCCTGCCTCAGCCTCCCGAGTAACTGGGATTACAGGCATGTGCCGCCACACCCAGCTAATTTTTTGTATTTTTAGTAGAGACAGGGTTTCTCCATATTGGTCAGGCTGGTCTCGAACTCCTGAACTCAGGTGATCTGCCTGCCTGGGCCTCCCAAAGTGCTGGGATTACAGGTGTGAGCCACTGCGCCTGGCCCACAGTTATTTTAATAGCAGTTTAAATTTACATTTTTTAAAACTTTGAGCTAACTATTAATAAAGTTAAAAGAAGTATTGATACCTTTTAAATCATTAAACTGGGAATATACCAAAGTAGCCAATAGAATAAAAATAGAGTAGAAAAGAAATCACAAGGAAAGAATAACATAATAGAAGGTAAAGGAGACTAATGATGATGGAGGTATTGATAATGTAAATGTTAAACTACTTTGGTAAAAGAAAATGACTCTCATATTATGTTAAACCACAAAAATCTAACAATATGCTACTTAAAAGACACGCAAAAATTAAATGACCCCAAACAGGAAAAAAATCAAAGGGTTAACAAAAATATACTGAAGAAAACAAAAATAACTAAGAAGTAGCAATGCTAGTATTAGACAAAGCGAATTTCAAAGGTAAAAACAACATCAAATAGGATAATGGGGGCAATTTTTAATATTGATAAAAGGTTTGCTCATGAAGAACTTTCATCTGATAATTAACATAGTGTTAAAATATATACAATGAAAACTGAAATTTTCAAAGATAATTGAATAAAAAACCCATAATAAGTGGGACTCTGTGACATGCCAACATCAGTTTATTCATCCACTAAACACTGAGTTTTAGGTACTATACTGAGCACTTGTTCCCAATGACACTATTCTTGTTTCACTGGGAATAATTCACTTCCCACTGGGCACTGGTATTCCTCTTTGGAACCACCACTGACACATCAAAGATCTGATAGTGCCCTTTTTCTCCAGGGGTCTACTGTACTATGAAAGAGGTAGACTTTCTACACCCTGCACTACACTTTGCTAGAGGGATCTGAAGTAATGATGGTTATGCAGCAATGTTTTTATAGTTTTGGTTAAAAATAAAATAAGCTTACCCACTATTCTTCCTAGAAGCAGACATAAACCCAGTGGGTTGCAAGGCAAGATATCCAAATAGCAGGTATCATTATGTACTCAAATTATGCCTCTTTTCAATGGCCATGGTCAAGGTCATTGGTACTCAGAATTTGAGCTTCTAGGGAGTTCAACCCATCAAGTCTCTAGATATGTCTAGACATATATGAATGTTTGCTAAAACCAAAGCCAGGACCGTTTCCTACTCAAGAAATATATAAATATATATGTATTTAAGTTTAAAAGAAAAGAAAATCATTTAGTAATTTGGAAGAATATTTGAAAGCATTGCCCAAGAATACAAAAAAAAAATCAATATTACTTGGAGAGGATATTACTGTCTATCTGAAAAAACTAAAATAATCAACTGAAACAAAATTAGATACACTAGAACCAATAAAAGTTCATGAGATAGACAGCTGAACATCAGATATGGTTTGGCTGTGTCCTCACCCAAATCTCACTTTGAATTGTAACTCCCATAATTCCCATGTGTTGTGGGAGGGACCTGGTGGGAGGTAATTGAATCTTGCGGCTCGGTCTTTCTTGTGCTGTTCTCACGGCAGTAAATAAGTCTCACAAGATCTGATGGTTTTAAAAAGAGGAGTTCCCCTGCACACTCTCTCTTTGCCTGCTGCCATCCATGTAAGACATGACTTGCTCCTCCTTGCCTTCCACCATGATTGTGAGGCCTCCCCAGCCATGTGGAACTGTAAGTCCATTAAACCTCTTTTTCTTCCAGCCTCAGGTATGTCTTTATCAGCACCATGAAAGTGGACTAATACAATCAGTAAAGAAAAATTAATTTTTTATATATAGCAATATAGCCAATGATATACTATAATACAAATAAGCTACAATAGAATACATCAGACCAGAAGAATAACTTAATGTAGAATGCAGGACTTATGTGAGGCAAATTATGAAATTACACTGAGAAACAAAAGACCCCCAAAAATGGACACAGTCAGTGTCATGAAGCTGTAAATTCTCCCAAATCAAAATACCAAATCTGTCAGTTTTTAAAAAATATTATAAAAAAATTTTAAAGTCCATCAGTAAAGATAATAACGTTTAAAAAAGTCATAAACCTTTCGGAGAAAAAAATGAGAAAAGGGAGAGGCTTAGCTTTGCAGGGAATTAAAACATGTTTTTGAGCTATAGTAGCTGAATCAGGGTGACATTAATGTAAAAATGAGCAAACATATAAAGAGAACAGGATTGAAAGTTTCCAAATATATTTATGCACATATTTTAAACTTAAAGCATGATCAGGGAGACATGCAAAGCTATCAGGGAAAAGATAGATTGGCAGAAGTCTTGGCAAAGATATGCATTCTCATTGTTGAGAGTCTAATAACATGTATTCTGAAGAGTTTTGTTTTGTTTTGTTAAAGACATTCTATGATATGGCTTGGCTGTGTTCCCACACAAATCTCATCTTGAACTGTAGTTCCCATAATCCCCATGTGTTGTGGCAGGGGCCCAGTTGGAGGTAATTGAATCATGGGGGCAGTTTCTCTTGCTATTCTCGTGATAGTGAGAAAGTTCTCACAAGATCTGATGGTTTTATAGGGGGCTTCCCCCTTCGTTCAGCTCACACTTCTTTCTCTTGCTCCCATGTGAAGAAGAATGTGTTTGCTTCCCTTCCCGCCAAGATTGTAAGTTTCCTGAGGCCTCCCCAGCCATGCGGAACTCTGTCAATTAAACCTCTTTCCTTTATAAATTACTCAGTCTCGGATATATCTTTATTAGCAGTGTGAAATGATTTAATAAATTATATTAAGATTAAAACAATCATTTTTCTTTGACCTGAAATTGTACCTCTTGGTATATATTTACTTATAGGTATATATTTTTTAAAAAAAGACAAGTGGAAAAAGATGTACACACAGAATATTCATCATACTGAGGTTAAAATTAGCAAAAAAAAAAAAAATAGAACTGCCCATGAATAGGTTTCATAATTAAATAAATTTTACAAAACAACCATTACAATGTAATTCTATATAGGCCTTGAAATCATATTTGAAATAGTTATATGGATATAGTTATAAACATATAGGCTTTACAATAGATAAATCAAATGTCAAAAAGCCCAGTAACCAGCAAGCATGATATGATCTCATTGACGAAGAATATAGATACATACACCTAACAAATGATTGAAAGACATGTTCTCACCCTAGTGGCTTTCTCTAAGTGGTAAGAAGATCATCTATGAATTTGAAGTTTCTTCTTTATACCTTTAGTTATTTATGCTTACAGTATTTTTCTAAGTAGTTTTTGATAAATCACTGAATGTTACTTTTTATTGTTACAGTTTCAGGGGTTACACGTGCAGGTTTGTTAAATGGATATATTAAGGTGTAATGGTGGGGTTTTGGCTTCTACTATACCTATCACCCAAATAATGAAGAGTATGCCAATAGGTAATTTTTCAACTCTCATCCCCCTCTCAACTTCCTCCCTTTTGGAATTTCCAGTGTCTATTTATTTCCATCTTTATGTCCATGTATACCATTAATTAGCTCCCATTTATAAGTGAGAATGTACAGTATTTGATTTTCTGTTTCCCAGTTATTTCACGTAGGATAATGATCTCCAGCTCCAACATGGTTCAACCATGTTGCTGCCAAAGACATGATTTCATTCTTTTTTTTATGGTTGCATAGTATTCCATGTATATATATATACTACATTTTCTTTATCCAATTATCCATTGAGGGACACAGGTTGATTTCATGAATATTATTTTTTAATATCAGAAAAATAAGATGATAAAGCTATTTCCATGAAAAAAAGAGGTGAGAAAACAAGAAGAGCCCCAATTCTATTGCTGCTTCCTTTACTCTATTTAAAAGGAAACAATGCATTATAGAAACAGAATAGTACAAAATAAAAAGTAAAAGCCTGACTTCCTTCCCTATATTACCCAAAGGTGATTAAGGGTAACAGTTTCTTGTGTAGTTTTCCAAAGTTTGACAATTGCTTCCACACATACACACACCCACTCCCTTACAAAATTTCCGTATGCAAGGGACCATGTATGGTACTCAGAGTCTTCTTCAGCTTGCTGTTTTCACTTAACATATCTTGGTGATCTTTGCCCAGTACACTGGATATTCATCATTCTTTATCACTGCGTCTTCCATTATACATGCACCACAATTTAATAAGTACATAATTATTAGACCTCTTAGAAATATCTTTATTTCAAAATTACTACAATGCATATATTTTGAGATATTCATAATAAATTCCTAACAGTGAAATTTGAGACAGAGAAAACTGTAGTTTTAAAAATTGACATATGTTGCTAAAATGCTCTACCAAAAAAGATGCAATAATATACACACTATGAGATTTTTATATTTTTGCCAGCACCAATTGTGATATTAAATAATTTATTGTTATGAAATTAATGAGGGAGAAGTAGTATCTTATTTTGATTTACGTTGTTTTAATTGTGACTTAAGGTAAATACATTTTCCTGTCTTTATTTACCATTGATATTTCTCTTCCTGTGAATATTTATAACTTTGTCTATTTTTATACTGTGTTGTTCACCTCAGTCACTGATTGTTCTGAACTTCTTGTATGTTAAGAAAATTCTCTGCCTTATGATGTATAGGAATTTATTCAGTTCATTTTCTAATTTTTTTTGCCATAGAGAAGTTAAGAATATTTAAGTACTAATATTTATCAATATTTTCTCTCATGGCTTCTTGTGTTTTGAACATGCTTTAGAAATATCTTTATTACTCTGGGATTATAATAACATATATGTGCTTTCTTCCATGACTGTACTGATTTGTTGATTAATATAAATAGTTATAGGTAAGAAATCTTTTTTTCCCCAACGCATTAGCCAGTTGCCCCAATGTAATTTATTAAAATTAACTCCAATATAAAATAGTATCAAACTGTTTTAATCATGATAACTTCATAATATGCTATAATGTATGGGAGAGTTTGAACCCCTTCATTACTATACGCCGTCAGAATTTTCTTGGATAATATATTTTATATACTTTCTTCCAGAAAACTTTTAGCATATTTGTTAAGTTACTAAACCTTGTTGGTATTTTAATTTGGACCACATAAAAACTATATATAAATTTGTGGAAAATCTATATATTTTTTCAATATTGTGTCTTCACTTATCATGTAAGGACATGTGATATGGTTTGGCTGTGTCCCCACCCAAATCTCATCTTCAACTGTAGTTCCCATAAAACCCAGGTGTCATGGGAGGGATCCAGTGGGAGGTAATTGAATCATTGGGGAGGCTAGCTCCATGCTGTTCTTGTGGTAGTGAGTGAGTTCTCATGAGATCTGATGGTTTTATAAGGGGCTTTCTCCCTCTTCCTTCTGTATTTCTCCTCGTTGCCACCTTGTGAAGAAGGACGTGTTTGCTTCCCCTTTGCCTCCCGCCAGGATTGTAAGTTTCCTGAGGCCTCCCCAGCACTATGGAACTGTGAGTCAATTAAACCTTCTCCCTTTATAAATTACCCAGTCTCAGGAATGTCCTTATAGCAGTGTGAGAATGGACTGATACACATGGCATGAAATTCTATCTTATTTCGTGCTTCTCAGTAGTTTTATACTTTACTTCTACAAAGATGGATTCTACAGATTTCTCAAGTTGATTTTAAGCTATTTTATTCTCGGAGATGGCATTGTAAATTAGATATTTTATTTCATTTTATCTTCTGATGGTTATATTTTGTATCTAAGAAAATTTTATTGGAATATTAACTGTATGAATTTATTAAAATGTCTTTTTTGTTTTTAATGGGTTTTATCTGGACTGTCTTGTCTTTTGTAAAATAACAACTATTTCATCATCCACAAAATAGTGGAAACCTTTTTTGATTTCAATTTCTCACACCTTTATTTCTGCCTTTTCTTCCTAATTGCATGGGTTTGTACTTGTTTAAAGATAACTATTGAAATAGTGAACATTCTTATATTTCTCTGACATTAACGATAAGGCTTTTAGGGTTCCATTAAGCATATTTCTAGCTTTAAATTTTTAGATATATATTCATGGTCTTAAGAAATGTCTATCTATTTCTGCTAAGTTAATATCTTACCCCAGGTTATGAGTGAGGTTTGAAACTGAAACTGAAGTCTCTTTACCCACAGGCCAGTGCGTTTTCCCAGAAACAGCCATTCAGAAATGACCGCTCACTGAACTCTAAATGACTCACGCAAATACTCTTTGGGTCAAGATCTGCCCTCCATCTCAAAATGTTCTTGCTCTGACTTCAACAGACCAGATGGCAGCAAATGCAATTACATGAAAAGAATATAAAAGCTAATCCAGCATTTTTTATTCTATGGCTGGGAATTAAAACATTATAAGGCCTAAGTTTGGGTATTATGCTGATGAATAGAAGGGAATTCATCAAGGAATTTTTTTTTTTTTTTTTTTGAGATGGAATCCTGCTCTGTCACCCAGGCTGGAGTGCAGTGGTGTGATTTCGGCTCACTGCAACCTCCACCTCCTGGGTTCAAGCGAGTCTCCTGCCTCAGCCTCCCAAGTAGCTGAGAATACAGGTGTGTGCCACCATGCGTAGCTAATTTTTGTATTTTTTTTTTTTTCGTAGAGATGGGGTTTCACCATGCTGGCCGGGCTGTTCTCAAACTCCTGACCTGGTGATCCGCCTGGCTCAGCCTCCCAAAGTGCTGGGATTACAGGCGTGAGCCACTGTGCCCAGCTGAAAATAGCCTTTTGTATACACAACCACCTCACACAGCTACAAAGGGTTGCTTTCATAAATAATTTCAAGAGTACATACTCCTTTTTTTTAGCATATCCTGAGATTTTTTTTCAACTTGTGAGAGTAATAATTTAAAAAATGTATAGCCATTTGTCCAGATTTGACATCCAGTTTCAGTAAGAAGCCAAGCTTGTTGGCTATTATAATGATGGAACAGGCCAATTGCCATGTCCGGTCATGGCTAAATTGAAAGTCCATGTAATCCTCCCGAATGGAATTATTTCTCATGTAGCTTTTTGAATAATGCCTGCATTTTTTTGCTCACATAAGCTGATCAATAGTAGCTTTGGGAGCAACTCTTGTCTATGCCAGTTCCTCCTGGATGATTCTTATGGACAAATTCAAACTAAAAAGACACACTAAAGTGATCTTCCTGCAGCTTCTGGGGCCGGCACTGAAGAGAGGTGAGTAGGGAGTAGAGGTTTACAAAAACAACCATGGCCCTTAGGGAGAAACAAGCCACATGGAGAGAGTAGCATCCTTCACGGAGAAGGATCAAGGGAGGCTGTTTGCAGTCCCTCTGCCATCTTGGTTGTGGAAAAGTGAGCAGTGGTCTCTGGCTAAGGGAAACATTAGCAAGAAATACAGCTTGTGCCCCTTTCCCCTGAGTCCATCTTCCACAGGCCCTACTGTGGGGAGTGCTGGCCTCCTAGCTCTTTTGCCCTGTGGTCTCTAGGTGTTTAGAGCTCTGTGCCAAGAGTGCGAGAGGTGTCTGGGACCTGTGGAAATTCAATGTGTGCAAAGGCAACTGTCTGTGGGGGATATTATGGTCAAAAATGTTAGAACTTCATGGCAACCCATTAAGCCTAGGGCTAGGTTGAGACACCCCACCTGACCTTCCCAACAGCTGGGAGCAAGCTAAGCCTTATATTATTGTGGTATGACCCCAGACTACATAAAACAATTGCAGGACTTAAGTGATCCAGGTGCTGCCTCTCTCCTTATCCCTCAGCTCCTGTCCTAGGAATATCAAATGAACATAATTTTTCAAACAAAATATACTGTCTAGCTTTAACATGTAATAAGACAGGTAAAGAAGGAGTTGCTCCAGCTGAAACAGGGGAAGATTGGGACTTCCCCATCGATCAGTCTCCCCCTTGGATTCCCTCTCCACAGGGATTTGCATGTAGTAACTACATAATATCATTTGTTCAATGAATTAATGAACTTTCCAATAAATTGTTGCAGATTCTGTAAATATGTCAGTACATCAACAAACATTTATTAAACTCCTCTAGGGTCTACCACTGTATTGTATAAATACAAAAAAGAAATATTAGACACAGGCAATATCTTCCTTGAGTTTTAGTTTAGTTTGAAATAATAGGTATCAAAACTCAAGTCATATGTACTAACTCAGTTATTCTTTCTATCAACATTGCAATTTGGGTCTCATCATTCCACTTATACAAAGAGGCAAAGGAGGTTCATAGGAGTAAAGAGATTTGCTGAAACTCCATCATTTAGAAATGGCAGAGCTGAGGCTTGAACCCGTATCCCTTTGTTTTGCAAGCCCGTGTTTAACTATGTGTTCTGCATTGCCAGTGCATGTGGAATAGTGGGGTCACTCTCAGTGCTGGGTAGAACTGGTTTTCCTGGTAATGAGCAGTCCAGAGAAGGGGGAAAGAGGTTCACTCAGCATAAGTTCCCTCTGCGCCCCAACCCAGGACTCTGCCTGCGACATTTTGCTACGTGTTTTTTAAGATATAGTTTTTACCCTATTGGAATCAGCCAACTTTTGATGTTATTGGAGTAATAAGTCATTCCTGGATTGGTTCTGGGTGATGTGATCACTTCCGACAATTTGCTGAGAAGACAAGAGGCACCTGTGGGGAGGGTGAATACTACTGGGTATGGTTGATCAGCTCATGTTTCAGCTACCCATCATTACAGTGTGGATTCTTTCTTTGCAAAGCCTCAAGCATCTCAATACTGTTGGCTGTGACCTCAGTAGAGTGCGAATATGTTAAACTGCCAAGAGGAGTGTAAAGGGGAGAGGAAAGATACACCAAGCCCTTCTCTAAGAAATCTTTGTTGTTAACACGCCCTGAGCACCTCACTTAGTGGACTTCCGTCTGCGGACCTGCGACTTCTATAGCGCCATAATGAGGGTGGGCAAAGCACCTGTCACTCACCTGCAGAACCTCTCTTTATCAACCTAGTTTCATGCAAATGGCTTGTTCAGTATGAACTGACTAAATCCCAGATACTTCCCTGATTTTTAGATCCTGACGTATTTGACACATTTATATCTCTTGTTATGTTTCCTTTCCTGCTGAAATTAAGATGCATTGGGTACACAGAGGCTATGACATCTGCCAAAGGATTGCAGGGATACAGTCATAGACTCGAACAGTCCCCACCATGCAGGGAGGCAGCAGCCACATCATCCTGAGCAGCCGGCCCCATGGAGCAAGCAGCTGCCTCCTGGGAGCCAGGGAAACAGGAAAATCCCTGGTGTTCAGAGTTCTTCTCTGAGTGCTCCAAGCACACACCCACCAACACAAATAATGTATCTGTGTACACATGAACAGATGTGTAGATGGATGCACTTACACACATTCCCACATATACATATTTACACACATATATACCTTCTCATGCAAATATCACTTCCCACACAGTCACCAGAAATAATGTCCTAAAACACAAATTCAACTACGCTATGTGATGATATTTAACAATTATTGTTATTTTTGATGAGTAATGGTTATATGGGAAAAGTCTTTATTTTTGAAGATGCATACTGAAGTATTTAGTAGTAAAATTTCATGATGTCTACAATTTACATTTAAGTAGCTAAGCAAAAAAATGAAGTAAATATGACAAAATATTAAAAATTACATGTTTTCAATAGTGAAGATATGAAAGCAACCTAAATGTCCATCAGTGAATGAATGGTTAAAGAAAATATGGCATATGTACACAATGGAATATTATTCAACTATAAAAAAGTATGAAATTCTGTCATTGCAACAACATGGATGGAACTGAAGGACATTATGTGAAGTAACTCAGGCACACAAAAACAGATATTGTATATTCTCATTCATATGTAGGAAGAAGCTACGAAAAGTTAATCTCATGAAGGTAGAGACTAGAATGATGGATACCAGAGGCTAGAAAGGAGTGGGGAAGATGGGTGCTAAAATGCAGTTAGTTGGAAGGAGTAGGTTTTAGTGTTCAATAGCACAGGAGGGTGACAATAGTTAGCAATAATTTATTGTTTATTTCAAAATAGCTAAAGAGAAGATTTAGAATGTTCTTAAAGGAATGATGTTTGAAGTGATAGATATCTTAATTATCCTGATTTAATTATTATTCTTTGTATGCACATATCAAAATATCACATATGCCCCATAAACATGTATAATTTTTATGTATCAATTAAAAAATGAGTTTTTATTGTATTATGCTCTGTGAGTTCCTGTATGTTTAAAATTTTTTTTTTATAAAAGATCAAAAAAGAGAGAGGAATTCGGAATCCATTTGTGCTACCCTGCTCTGACATGGCTGCGAACTTTGCTACTCAAAGAATGGTCCTTACACTAGCACCTTCGGCATCCCCTGGGAACTTGTTAGAAATGCAGATTCTAAGGCCCCATGCCAGAACTACTGTGTAAAAATGTGTGTTTTAAAAGATTCCCAGGTGATTTGCACATACACTTGTTACAGACTGAATGTTTGTGTCACCCTAAAATGTATGCTGGAACACTAACACCTAATGTTGTAGTATTTGAGGCAGGGCCACTGGGAGGTAATTAGGTTTAGATGAGATTATGAGGGTGAACCCCCATGATGAGATTAGTGTCCTTGTAAGAAGGCACGGAGACACCAGAGCTCTCTTCACCATGTGAGGTCACAGCCAGGAGGCAGCTGGCCATCTACAAGCCAGAAATAAGGCCCTCACCAGGGAAGGAAATTGGCCAAAAACTCGATCTTGGAATTCCTAGCCTCCAGAACTGTGTGAAATAAGTTCCTATTGTTTAACTCACACACAGTCTGTGATATTTTATGTCAGCTGGAGCCGACTAAGAAAAACCTCAGATTTGAGGAGCACAAACCCCTTGTCATGGCACAGGCAGCCTTTCGTTACTGCACTCCTGTGTGCTGCATGGACTCTGTGACAACGTGGCCTACTTGTCTGGGCCCTGACACTAGCACTGTGGAGTTCCTGAATAGGCTACCTTTGCACAGCTGTGATTTTGTCCAAGAAGTTCTCTCTGTCAGGAATGTCCTCTTTGTATTCACTTAACTATTAATAGCATTGTGTTAGGGAAAAAAAAAAGAAACCTAAACTGTTTTATCTATTAAGCCTTCCTTGTTCCTCTCAGCAGAATTAAGACCTCCACATTTCACAACACCCTGTGCTTCTTCCTGATTAGAGACTTACTATCCTATATTCTTACAGCCTGCTCTCATTTTCCTACACCAGACTGAATTTCATGGTATGAGGGCCTAAGTCTTATTTTAAATGCTTTGCCAAATACTAGGAAACTTAGAGACTTGTAGATGCTCAATATATGTTCGCTGACTTAACCAACAAATCAAGGAACTCATGTGATACACACTTGTGTATCATCACATAGGTAAATACAGACGTAGAAATGTGAAGGGATGTACACACACAGCCTAGTTTCTCTGTAAAAAGAGGGAAAGGGTGAGAGGACATTGTCAGCACACAGAGTGGGTAGCTGATCCCCTGATGTGAAACAGAGGAGGGGGCAGAGCACCTGGGTCTCTGGCTCCCCTCCAGTGTGCCCCAAACCCAACTATACATTAGAATCCTCTTGGGAAGTTTAAAAAATACTAACAGCTGGGTCCTCCTTGAGAGTTTTAAAAGTACTGATAGCTGGGAGGCCGAGGCAGGCGGATCACGAGGTCAGGAGATCAAGACCATCCTGGCTAACACGGTGAAACCCCGTCTCTACTAAAAAATATAAAAAATTAGCCAGGCGTGGTGGAGGGCTCCTGTAGTCCCAGCTGCTCAGGAGGCTGAGACAGGAGAATGGTGTGAACCCGGGAGGTGGAGCTTGCAGTGAGCTGAGATCACGCCACTGTACTCCAGCCTGGGCAACAGAGCAAGACTCCATCTCAAAAAAAAAAAAAAAGAAAAGAAAAAATACCGATAGCTGGGTCCTCCTTGAGACAAAATAAATCATAATTCTGTGGAAGTGGGCCCCTGGCACTGGTGTTTTTTTAATAGAAACATTCTAGGTAATTCTAATTTGAGGCAGGATTGATAACCTGTGATTACCTGTCGAAAATCTCAATATTATGACCAGGGAAAAGAATCTCTATTTTTGTGTAATTAATGAGCTGAGAATTTTCCTCCCAAAATTAACTTTGGATATTTAACTTTGAAATGTTGAATATCAAAATATGCTCTTACTTTAATTTACTGTGAAAACCAAGGTCTTTTTAAAGTCTAAAGTCAGATGGCTTTGGGTTCAGGAAGGAAACTCAGGCAGGTTTCTTGGTGGGCAGACTTGGCCTTTCATCTTCATCCACATGTTAGCTGTGGTGCTTTGGGGTTTGGGATCCTTTTGCTGAAACTATTTTAACTCCATGTCACTTCATTTGCCAACCCCCTCAAACATCTTTTGGGGATGGATGGCCCCTTCTCTGTCTCCTTTGTCATCTAACCCTCTTCCACTTGATCTTTAAACCTTGGGGCTTCTCAGACTTGGGTCCTCCATCTCCACTCTGTGCTGTATCTGTGGATGATCTCACCACAACTTTGGCTTCAGTGACCATCAATTGACCCGTAACTCCCTGTCTTAGTTTCCAGGGCTGCTATTACAAAGTACAACAAAGAGTGTATCTTAAAGCAATACTTTTGGAGGCCGGAAGTCTGAAATCCTGGTGTCTACCAGGCTATGCTCTCTCCAAAGGCTGTAGGGAGAATCTATCCTTTCCTCTTGCAGCCTTTGATGGCCCCAGGAGCTCTTTGGCTTGCAGGTACAGCACTTTGTATGCTCTCCTCGTGTGGCTGTGTCTTCTCCTTTTCTTATAAGGACACCAGTCATATTGGAGCAGGAACCCACTCTACTCTAGTATGATCTCATCTTAGTTAATTATATCTGCCATGACTCTCTTTCCTGATAAGGCTGCACTCCAAGGTACTGGGAGTTAAGACTTTAAGATATCTTTTTGAGGGACACAGTTCAGCCCATAACATCCCCAGATTTCCATCTCCACTTTGTTCTTACCTCTGAGCTCCAGTCCAACTGTTAGACATCCTCCCATGGAGGTCTCACAAATACCTAAAATGCTACAAAAAAAGACGTGAACTCATCTGTTCCCATCCCAGAATCTCCACAGTTACCTCTTTGAGTGAATGGGGCGTTATAGTCAGCCTGGGTGGCAAACCTGGAATGTGGCTTGCCACCCAGGTCGATTGTGGCACCACTCTCTTTGACACCACTCTCTTCATGCCAACCATTCAGAAAATACATTGAGCAAATTGTAATACCTAAAACATCTCTCAGATATCCTCTACTTCTCCCTTTGGCCCCATACTCACAGCCACTGTCCTTATCCCACAGCGCCTCCAGCTTAGTCTGCTGTGATAATGTTCTATTGGTTTCCACATCCAGTATTGCCTCTACCAATCCCTTTTCCACAGAATATGTAGAGTGGTCTTTCAAAACACAAATTTTATTATGCAGTCTTCCTGATAAAACCTCTAAATATTTCCCATTTCTATGGCATAGATCTTGGAACCCCTAGTGTGGCCTTGTGTGGCCTAAATGATTAATCACCACCCCGTCAACCAACTTAACCTCTCATCTCTCCTCCCCTCTGTCTCCACAGTCCAGCCACACTGACCTTCTCGAGGTTCTTTGAAAATTCATGACCTTCCTATATTAGGAATTTACACATGGTATTTTTATTTTTCTGAACGTTTTCCTTCTCTACACTCCTCTGCCCAGCTAGCCAATACTCATCCTTTCAATCGCAGATGAAGTTTCGTTTTCTTCAAGCAGCTTTTCTGGACTTCTCAGTTAGATCCCCTGTAAAATGCTCCCATGGTGCTCTGTACTTGCTTTTCACAGCAGGCTCCATGATTGTAATGAAATACTTGATTATAGAATTAGTTTACAATCCATTTTTCCCATTGAAACACAAGCTCCAAGAAACGTGGAGGCAAGGACTGTGTCTTCTTTCCTGCTATAGCTCTAGTGTTTAGAACATTATCCAGCACGCAGCAGAGAGTGAAGAAGCCTTCGCTAAATAAATAATGAATAAAAGGTAAGTTGTATTTTGGTTTTGCTCACAAATATCCCTCCAATGTCTTGGGCAGCCCTTGCACATAAAAGGCACTTCATCAATATTGGCTGAATAAAGTACTGGACTAGTCCTTTTCTTATCCACAGAACTGGAGTACACATCCCTGGGACAGCCAGGGGCAACCACTGCAGAGAGGACACTGAACAAGGAGATTAGTGAATGGCAAACATGAGCACCACCTTGTATGAATATTCTGAAATCCCTAGGCCTTTGCTCTTTTTAAAATTACATGTTCACCCACAACAGCAGCTAGTGAGTCTCCCTGACACCTTCCGTCTAGCTGGCACAAGCAACGACAGGTTCTCTTGAGCTCTTTCTTCCTCACGTCAGACCTCTGTAGGGAAAGCAGCAGGCAGAGACTTTTTAGGTCAAGGTCCCATACGCCCAGTGTCCCACTCTGCCCTTGGAGGAAATGTTTGATGATAAATCCTCTTAGGACTATTGGCCGTAAAAAACTTGTGCTTTGTTGTCAGTGAGGATGTGGATTACATGAAAATAGATACACTGCATAGTAAAATAGAGACAGCCATGTGTTTTTTAGCATTAATTCCCTCAGATGTGTAGCGGCTGGATCTTCTCAGTGTGAAAAGTGCTTTCATGTGCATTCCCTCCACTGATTTCTACAACAAACCTGTGGTAAGAGTAACTATTTCCCCATTTTTACATGTGCAGAATTAAGATTTGGTGTAAGACAACTAGCCCAAGTGTCTGGAGTAGTTACAATGGAATGCACGCATGTAGCCGAGCTGCAAGTGGAAGCCCAGTTTTCTGACTCCCAGGCACTTCTCCCTTCCTCTTCCACTGCTTTGCATGGCGAGAAGAGTTTGGCACAGGTGGGTGGCTGTGACTCCATCCTCTTCATATAGCTCCCTCCTGTAAAGGGGCCCTGGCACCTGTTCCTAGCCGTCTCTCCAAATCTGTGCTGTTCCTACTGGCACCAGCTCATCATGATGGAGCATTTCTTATGTGTCAAGCTCTCTTCTACATGCTCTATACCTATGCTCTCCTTTGATTCCCCACAATATAAATTTGATGTGTGCACTATTATTGCCTGCATTGTACAGGTGAGGAGACTAGAACACAGACAAGTAACATTCCCAAGTTTACACAATGAATTTTAGAGTCAAGTGTCATACTCCGGCAGTCTGATGATGGAGCCCAAACACATAACAATGAAGTCATACTGCCTTCTGTAGCATGTGACTGTTTCCTTTGTGTTACTATCTCAACCCTTCTACTCACTGTCACCTTCTCATGGTGAAACCTGAGTTTATTTACACTTGGGTTTTAATTGGATTTCAGCTTCTCTCATTCCTTTTGTCTCCTTGCAATAGAGAAGGAAGCAAAAATACATTCCATGGGCTAAAATAAAGACTTTTTAAAGAGTGCCTGTGATGTTCTTGTAGGATATTAGTGCTTACTCACTGGTGGTACTTAGTGGGTGATTATAATAATTACACAAAGCAAACAAATTAGCCAAGTTAACTTCTCACTAAAGCTCATTTCAATGAGGTGTACAAGAGAAAATGAATTCTTCCACTTATTGTTCAACAGAATGGGAATTCTAAAGGAGAAAGATCATTCTAACAGGAATAATTAACAGAGACATCACCTAGACATCACACTTAAAGTGTACACGCATGCACACACATATAACTGCTACTTAAAACCTATGTGCAAAGATGTGGATTTGGAGACTGATTTCAAGGTGGCTTATTTTAAATAAAAGCAGTGAAAACTTGTGATGGAGGACTGCAGCAGCACCTTTAAAATGCTCATATTTCTGAAATAATGAGCTACTTTGCAAGATGACAGATTTAAATGGTGAAGCATACGCTTCAAAATACTTGCTGTCTAGGCAAGCTTGTGATATTTCTACAAATGGGGTTTTCATAGTCTGGGGGGAATTGGGAAGGGTACATTGAGCACTTCTCAATTTTAACAAGCACTTTAGATCGCACAGTTCTTCATAATCACTTTTAATAATTGTTCCTTCCAACAGCTCTGTTATTCCCATTTCACAAATACAGTAACTGATGCAGTTAGAACAAAGGGAATATTTTGGAGCTCACTTCCTAGTCAATATCAGGAGCTTAATGATCTCACTGAGGTAAA